>NT_167213.1:0-179198 GCF_000001405.40 Homo sapiens
GAATTCTACCTGTGGGACAAACATTGAGACCTTTGTAACATTGTTCTGGAATGCTAAGTGAGGGACAAACATTCAGAACCCAGCGGGAGTGTTCTGGAATCCTATGTGAGGGACATACATTCAGACCATAGCAGCAGTGTTCTGGAATCCTATGTGTGGGACAAACATTCAGACCCTCGTAGCAGTGTTCTGGAATCCTATGTGAGGGAGAAACACTCACAACCCAGCAGCAGTGTTCTGGAATCCTGTATGAGGAAAAAGCATTCAGACTACAGCAGCATTGTTCTGGAATAGTATGTGAGGGACAAACATTTAGACCCACGTAGCAGTGTTCTGGAATCTTACGTGAGGGACAAACACTCAGAACACACCAGCAGTGTTCTGGTATCCTGAGGGACAAACAGTCAGACGACAGCAGGTCTGTTCTGGAATCATATGTGACGGGGAATAATTAAGAAACTCGTAGCAGTGTCTGAAATCCTATGTGATGGAAAAACTTTCAGACCCTCGTAACACTGTTCTGGAGTCCTATATAAGGGACAAACATTTAGACCCAAGTAGCAGTGTTCTGGAATCGTACGTGAGGGACAAACACTCAGAACCCAGTAGCAGCGTTATGGAATCCTATGTGAGGGTCAATCACTCAAACCACACCTGTGGTGTTCTGAAATCCTTCGTGTGACATAAACATTCAGACACTCGTAGCATTCTTTTGGAATCCTCAGAGAGGGACAGACATTCAGACCACAGCAGGAGTGTTCTGGAATCATATGTGAGGGACAAACATTCACAGCAGAACAGTAGTGTTCTGGATTCCTATGTCAGGTACAAACATTCAGACCCTCATAGCAGTGTTCTGGAGTCCTATGTGGAGGAGAGACATTCAGACTCTCGTAGCAGTGTTCTGGAATCCTATGTGTGGGACAAACACTGTGAACCCAGCAGCAGTATTCTGGAATCCTATGTGAGGGAAATAACATTCAGAATACAGCAGGAGTGTTCTGGAATCCTATGTGTGGGAGAAATATTTAGACCCACGTAGCAGTGTTCTGGAATCGTAAGTGAGGGACAAACACTCAGAACCAAACAGGAGTGTTCTGGAATCCTATTTGAGGGACAAATATTCAGACACTCATAGCAGTGTTCTGGAATTCTATGTGATGGACAAACTTTCAGACCTTTGTAGCAGCGTTCTGGAATCCTATGTGATGGACAAGCATTTAGACACACGTAGCAGTGTTCTTGGATCCTATGTGAGGGACAAACACTCAGAAGCCAGCAGCAGTGTTCTGGAATCCTATCTGAGGGAGAAATATTCAAACCAGAGCAGTAGTGTTATGGAATCCTATATGAGGTACAATCATTCAGATTCTCGAAGCAGTGTTCTGGAATCATATGTGAGGAGAAACACTCAGAACCCAGCAGCAGTGTTCTGGAATCCTATGTGAGGGAGAGTCATTCAGATCACTGCTGGGGTGTTCTGGAATCCTACGTGTGGGACAAACATTCAGACCCTCGTAGTACTGTTATGGAATCCTAAGTGAGGAACAGACATTCAGTCCAAAGCAGTAGCGTTCTGGAATACTAAGTGAGTACAACATTCAGACAACAGCAGCAGTGTTCTGGAATCTTGTTTGAGGGACAAAGTTTCAGATCCTCTTAGCAGCGTTCTCAAATCCCATATGTGGGGCAAACATTCTGTCCCACGTAGCAGTGTTCTGGAATAGTACGTGAGGGAAAAACCCTCAATCCCAGCAACAGTTTTCTGGAATCCTATATGAGGGACAAACATTCAGACCACAGCAGGAGTGTTCTGGAATCCTATGGGACGGACAAACATTTAGACCCACATAGCAGTGTTCTGGAATCTTACACGAGGGACTAAATCTCAGAACCCAACAGCAGTGATCTGGAATCCTAAGTAAGGGACAAACATTCAGAACACAGCAGGAGTGTTCTGAAATCCTATGTGACATAGAATAGTTCAGAACCTCGTAGCAGTGTTCTGTAATCCTATGTGATGAACAAAAATTCAGACCACAGCAGCAGTGTTCTGGAATCCTAAATGAGGGATGAACATTCAGACAACTGCAGAAGTGTTCTGGAATCCTATGTTAGGGACAAACATTCAGACCACAGCATCAGTGTTCTGGAATCCTATGTGAGAGACAAACATTCAGAGCCTCGTAGCAGTGTTCTGGAGTCCTATGTGAGGGACAAACATTTACACCCACCTAGCAGTGTTCTTGAAATGTACTTGAGGGACAAGCACTCAGAACCCAACAGCAGTGTTCTCAAATCCTAAACGAGGGACAAACATTCAGACCACAGCAGGAGTGTTCTGGAATCTTTTGTGATGAACAAAAATTCAGACCACAGCAGCAGTGTTCTGGAATAGCATGTGAGGTACAAACATTCAGACCCTTGTAGCTGTGTTTTGGAATCTTATGTGAAGGAGATACACTCAGAATCCACCAGCAGTGTTCTGGAATCCTATGTGAGGTACAAACATTCAGATCACAGCAGGAGTGTTATGGAATCCTATGAGAGTTACAAACATTAAGACTCACGTAGCAGTGTTCTGGAATCGTAAGTGAGGGACAAACACTTAGAACCCAGCAGCAGTGTTCTGGAATCCTAAGTGAGGGACAATCATTCAAAGCACAGTAGGAGTGTTCTGGAATCCCATGAGAGGGAGAAACACATAAAATGCAGCAGCAGTATTCTGGAATCTTATGTGAGGGACAATCATTCAGACCACAGCTGGGGTGTTCTGGAATCCTACGTGTGGGACAAACATACAGACCCCCGTAGCATTGTTCCAGAATCCTAAGTGAAGGACAAACATACAGACCACAGCAGGAGTGTTCTGGAATCCTATGTGAGGGACAAACACTCTGACCACAGCAGCAGTGTTCTGGAATCGTGGGTGAGGGACAAACATTCAGACCACAGCAGGAGTGTTCTGGAATCCTATGTGAGGGATAAACATTCAGACGAAAGCAGCAGTGTTGTGGAACCCTATCTGAGGGACAAACATTCAGACCCTCGTAGCAGTGTTCTGGAACCTTATGTGATGGACAAACATTCAGACCTTCGTAGCTGTGTTCTGGAATCCTATATGAGCGACAAACACTCGAAACCCAGCAGCAGTGTTCTGGAATCCTATGTGAGGCAAAAACATTCAGACCATCGTAACAGTGTTCTGGAATCTTTTGTTCGGGAGAAACATTCAGAACCTCGTAGCAGTGTACTGGAATCCTATGTGAGGGAAAAACATTCAGAACCCGGCAGCAATGTTCTGGAATCCTATGTGAGGGACAAAGATTTATTCCTACGTAGCAGTGTTCTTGAATCGTACGTGAGGGGCAAACACTCAGAACCCAACAGCAGTGTTCTGGAATCCTAAGTGGGGGACAAAAATTCAGACCACAGCAGGAGTGTTGTAGAATCCTATACGATGGAGAATATTTCAGAACCCCGTAGAAGTGTTCTAGAATCCTATATGATGGACAAATTTTCAGACTCTCTTAGCAGTGTTCTGGAATTCTGTGTTATGGACAATCATTTAGACCCACGTAGCATTGTTCTGGAATCTTACGTGAGGTACAAACACTCAGAAAACAGCAGCAGTGTTCTGGACACCTATCTGTGGGACAAATATTCAGACAACAGCATGATTTTTCTGGAATCTTATGTGAGGTACAATCATTCAGACCCTCGTAGCAGTGTTCTCGAATCCTATGTGAGGCAGAAAAATTCAGACCAAAGCAGGAGTGTTCTAGAATCCTATGTGACGGAGAACAATTCAGAACCTCGTAGAGTTGTTCTGGAATCCTATGTGATGGATAAACATACAGACCACATCATCAGTGTTCTGGAATCCTAAGTGTGGGACAAACATTCAGACCCTCGTAGCACTGTTCTGGAATCCTAAGTGAGGGACAAACATTCAGTCCACAGCAGGAGGGTTCTAGAATCCTAAGTGAGGACAACATTCAGACCACAGCAGCAGTGTTCTGGAATCCTATTTAAGGGACAAACTTTCAGATCCTCTTAGCAGTGTTCTCAAATCCTATATGAGGTACAAACATGCAGACTCACGTAGCCTTGTTCTGGAATCGTACGTGAGGGACAAATACTCAATCCCAGCAACAGTTTTCTGGAATCCTATCTGAGGGAAAAACATTCAGACTACAGCAGGAGTGTTGTGGAATTCTATGTGACAGACAAATATTTAGACCCACATAGCAGTGTTCTGGAATCGTACTTGAGGGACAAAAACTCAGAACCCAAGAGCAGAGTTCTGGAATCCTAAGTGAGGGACAAACATTCAGACCACAACAGGAGTGCTCTAGAATTCTATGTGAGGGACAAACATACAGACCACAGCAGCAATGTTTTGGAATCCAATGTGAGAGACAAACATTCAGACCACAGCAACAGTGTTCTGGAATCCTGGGTAAGGGACAAACATTCAGACCACAGCAGGAGTGTTCTGGAGTCCTATGTGAGGAACAAACATTCAGACCCTCATATCAGTGTTCCGGAATCTTG
Organism: Homo sapiens; assembly: GCF_000001405.40. Lineage (NCBI taxonomy): Eukaryota > Metazoa > Chordata > Mammalia > Primates > Hominidae > Homo > Homo sapiens. The sequence continues at coordinate 4,558 of NT_167213.1, forward strand.
TGTGAGGGACAAACACTGAGAACCCAGCAGCAGTGTTCTGGAATCCAATGTGATGGATAAACTTTCAGACATTCGTAGGAGTGTTCTGGAATCCTTTGTGATGGACAAACACTTAGACCCACGTAACAGTGTCCTGGAATCTTACGTGACGGAAATCCACTCAGAACCCAGCAGTAGTGTTCTGGAACCCTATCTGATGGAGAAATATTGAGACTGGAAGAGGAGTGTTGTGGAATCCTATGTGAGGTACAAACATTCAGGAACTCATAGCATTGTTCTGGAATCCTATGTGATTGAGAAACACTCAGAACCCAGTAGCAGTGTTCTGGAATCCTATGTGAGGACAATCATTCATACCACATCTTGGGTGTTCTGGAATCTTAAGTGAGGGACAAACATTCAGACCACAGCAGCCGTGTTCTGGAATAAAATGTGAGGGACAAACATTCAGACCACAGCAAGATTGTTCTGGAATCCTATGTGAAGGACAAACATTTAGACCCACATATCAGTGTTCTGTAATCGTACGTGAGGGACAAACACTCAGAACCCAGCAGCAGTGTTCTGGAATCCTGTCTGAGGGAGAAACATTCAGACCAGATCAGGAATGTTCTGGAATCCTAGGTGAGGGACAATCAGTGAGGGCGGTGGTGGATTCCAGAACAATGCTTCCTGTGTCTAAATGTTTTGCCCTCACAATCCTAAGTGAGGGAGATTTTGGACTGAGTCGATGGTGTTTTCTATATATACAATCATGTCATCTGCAAACAGGGACAATTTGAATTCCTCTTTTCCCAATTGAATGCCCTTTATTTCCTTCTCCTGCCTAATTCCCCTGGCCAGAACTTCCAACACTATGTTGTATGGGAGTGGTGAGAGAGGACATCCCTGTTTTGTGCCAGTTTTCAAAGGGAATGCTTACAGTTTTTGCCTGTTCAGTATGATATTGGCTGTGGGTTTGTCATAGATAGCTCTTATTATTTTGAGATACGTCCCATCAATATCTAATTTATTGAGAGTTTTTAGCATGAAGTGTTGTTGAATTTTGTCAAAGGCCTTTTCTACATCTATTGATATGATCATGTGGTTTTTGTCTTTGGTTCTGTTCATATGCTGGATTACGTTTATTGATTTGCATATATTGAGCCAGGCTTGCATCCCAGGGATGAAGCCCACTTGATCATGGTGGATAAGCTTTTTAATGTGTTGCTGGATTCGGTTTGCCAGTATTTTGTTGAGGATTTTTGCATCAAAGTTCATCAAGAATATTGGTCTAAAATTGTCTTTTTTTGTTGTGTCTCTGTCAGACTTTCGTGTCAGGATGGTGTTGGCCTCATAAAATAAGTTAGGGAGGATTCTGTCTTTCTATTGGTTGGAATAGCGTCAGAAGGAATGGTACCAGCTCCTCCTTGTACCTCTGGTACAATTCGGCTGTGAATCCATCTGCTTCTGGACTTTTTTTGATTGGTAAGTTATTAATTACTTCCTCAACTTCAGAGTCTGTTACTGGTCTATTCAGAGATTCAACTTCTTCCTGGTTTAGTCTTGGGAGGGTGTATGTGTCGAGGAATTTATCCATTTCTTCTAGATTTTCTAGTTTATTTACGTAGTGGTGTTTATAGTATTCTCTGATGGTAGTTTGTATGTCTGTGGGATCAGTGGTGATATCCCCTTTATCAATTTTTATTGCGTCTATTTGATTCTTCTCTCTTTTCTTCTTTGTTAGTCTTGCCAGTGGTCTATCAATTTTGTTGATCTTTTCAAAAAACCAGCTCCTGGACTCATTAATTTTTTGAGGGGTTTTTTGTGTCTCTATTTCCTTCAGTTCTGCTCTGATCTTAGTTATCTCTTGCCTTCTGCTAGCTTTTGAATGTGTTTGCTCTTGCTTCTCTATTTCTTTTAATTGTGATGTTAGGGTGTCAATTTTAGATTTTTCCTGCTTTCTCTTGTGTTCATTTAGTGCTATAAATTTCCCTCTACACGCTGCTTTGAATGTGTCCCAGAGATTCTGGTATGTTGTGTATCTGTCCTCGTTGGTTTCAAAAAACAGCTTTATTTCTGCCTTCATTTCGTTATGTACCTAATAGTCATTTCGGAGCCGGCTGTTAAGTTTCCATGTAGCTGAGCGGTTTTGAGTGAGTTTCTTAATCCTGAGTTCTAGTTTGATTGCACTGTGATCTGAGAGACAGTTTGTTATAATTTCTGTTCTTTTACATTTGCTGAGGAGTGCTTTACTTCCAACTATGTGGTCCATTTTGGAATAGTTGTGGTGTGGTGCTGAAAAACATGTATATTCTGTTGATTTGGGGAGGAGAGTTCTGTAGATGTCTGTTAGGTCTGCTTGGTGCAGAGCTGAGTTCAATTCCTGGATATCCTTGTTAAATTTCTGTCTCACTGATCTGTCTAATGTTGACAGTGGGGTGTTAAAGTCTCCCGTTATTATTGTGTGGGAGTCTACGTCTCTTTGTAGGTCACTAAGGACTTGCTCCATGAATCTGGGTGCTCTTGTATTGGGTGCATGTATATTTAGGATAGTTTTCTCTTCTTGTTGAATTGATCCCTTTACCATTATGTAATGGCCTTCTTTGTCTCTTTTGATCTTTGTTGGTTTAAAGTCTGTTTTATCCAAGACTGGGATTGCAACCCCTGCCTTATTCTGTTTTCCATTTGCTTCGTAGATCTTCCTCCATCCCTTTATTTTGAGCCTATGTGTGTCTCTGCACGTGAGATGGGTTTCCTGAATACAGCACACTGATGAGTCTTGACTCTTTATCCAATTTGCCAGTCTGTGTCTTTTAATTGGAGCATTTAGGCCATTTACATTTAAGGTTCATATTGTTATGTGTGAATTTGATCCTGTTATTACTATGTCAGCTGGTTATTTTGCTCGTTAGTTGATGCAGTTTCTTCCTAGCCTTAATGGTCTTTGCAATTTGGCATGTTTTTGCAGTGGCTGGTACCAATTTTTCCTTTCCACGTTTAGTACTTCCTTCAGGAGCTCTTTTAGGGCAGGCCTGGTGGTGACAAAATCTCTCAACATTTGCTTGTCTGTAAAGTATTTTATTTCTCCTTCACTGATGAAGCTTGTTTGACTGGATATGAAATTCTGGGTTGAAATTTTTTTTCTTTAAGAATGTTGAATATTGGCCCCCACTCTCTTCTGGCTTGTAGAGTTTCTGCTGAGATGTCTGCTGTTAGTGTGATTGGTTTCCCTTTGTGGTTAACCCGACCTTTCCCTCTGGCTGCCCTTAACATTTTTTCCTTCATTTCAACTTTGGTGAATCTGACAATTATGTGTCTTGGAGTTGCTCTTCTCGAGGATTATTTTTGTGGCATTCTCTGCATTTCCTGAATTTGAGTGTTGGCCTGCATTGCTAGATTGGGAAAGTTCTCCTGGATAATATACTGCAGAGTGATTTCCAACTTGGTTCCATTCTCCCCGTCACTTTCAGGTACACCAATCAGACCTACATTTGGTCTTTTCACATAGTACCATATTTCTTGGAGGATTTGTTCATTTCTTTTTTTTCATTTTTCTCTAAACATTTCTTCTCACTTCACTTCATTCATTTCATCTTCCATTGCTGATACCCTTTCTTCCAGGTGATCTCATTGGCTACTGAGGCTTGTGCATTTGTCACGTATTTCTCGTGCCACGGTTTTCAGCTCCATCAGGTCCTTTAAGGACTTCTCTGCTTTGGTTATTCTAGTGAGCCATTCGTCTAATTTTTTTTCAAGGTTTTTAACTTCTTTGCCATTCATTCGAACTTCCGCCTTTAGCTTGGAGTACTTTGATCTTCTGAAGCCTTCTTGTCTCAACTTGTCAAAGTCATTCTCCATCCAGCTTTGTTCCATTGCTGGTGAGGAGCTGTGTTCCTTTGGAGGAGGAGAGGCGCTCTGATTTTTAGAGTTTCCAGTTTCTCTGCTCTATTTTTTCCCCATCTTTGTGGTTTTATCTACCTTTGGTCTTTGATGATGGTGATGTACAGATCGGTTTTTGGTGTGGATGTCCTTTCTGTTTGTTAGTTTTCCTTCTAACATTCAGGACCCTCAGCTGCAGGTCTGTTGGAGTTTGCTGGAGGTCCACTCCAGACCCTATTTGCCTGGGTATCAGCAGCAGTGGCTTCAGAACAGCAGATATTAGTGAACCGCAAATGCTGCTGCCTGATCATTCCTCTGGAAGTTTTGTCTCAGAGGAGTACCCTGCCATGTGAGGTGTCAGTCCGCCCTTACTGGGGGGTGCCTCCCACTTAGGCTACTCGGGGTTCAGGGACCCACTTGAGGAGACAGTCTGCCCATTCTCAGATCTCAAGCTGCATGCTGGGAGAACCACTACTCTCTTCAAAGCTGTCAGACAGGGACATTTAAGTCTGCAGAGGTTACTGCTGCCTTTTGTTTGTCTGTGCCCTGCCCCCAGAGGTGGAGCCTACAGAAGCAGGCAGGCCTCCTTGAGCTGTGGTGGGCTCCAACCAATTCGAGCTTCCCAGCTGCTGTTTTACATACTGAATCCTCGGCAATGGCGGGCATCCCTCCCACAGCCTTGCTGCTGCCTTGCAGTTTGATCTCTGACTGCTGCACTAGCAATGAGTGAGTCTCCATGGGCATCGGACCTTCCGAGCCAAGTGCAGGATGTAATCTCCTGGTATGCCGTTTGTTAAGCCCATTGGAAAAGCGCAGTATTAGAGTGGGAGTGACCTGATTTTCCAGGCGCTGTCTGTCACCCTTTTCTTTGACTAGGAAAGGGAATTCCCTGACCCCTTGCACTTCCTGGGTGAGGCAATGCCTCACCCTACTTTGGTTCATGCACAGTGCTCTGCACCCACTGTCCTGCACCCACTGTCCAGCACTCCCCAGTGAGATGAACCCAGTACCTCAGTTGGAAATGCAGAAATCACCCATCTTCTGCATCGCTCACTCTGGGAGCTGTAGACTGGAGCTGTACCTATACAGCCATCTTGACTAATTCCCTCATAACTGTCAAATATTGTATTAGGAAAAAAAATTAAGAGTATGTCTTCCATGCTCAGGTACCCTGTTTGAAATTAGTTAAGACCTATCTGCCCGGTGTGGTGGCTAACACCTGTAATTTCACACTTTGAAAGGTGGAGGATGGGGGATCACTTGAGCTCAGGAGTTAAAGACAAGCCTGCTCAACGTAACAAAACCTCATCTCTGCCAAAAATACAAATATTATCCAGTTGTGGTAGTGTGCAACTGTGGTCCCAGCTACTTGGGAGGCTGAGGTGGGAGAATCGCTGGAGCACAGAATATCAAAGCTGTAGTAAGCCACAGCACCCCAGCCAGAATGACAGGGAAACGGACCCTGTCTAAGAAATAAAAATAAATAAAGCGACCCATTCTTTCAGACACCCTTCTTCTTCTACATAAAACACGGGGCTTTTGACTGAAATGTTTTAAGATGAACCGAAGATTCTCCCATGATCAAGAGCAGTAGATAGGGGTTGCTCACTTCCTGCTCTTTGAGTTGAAGCAAGGCAGAGGCCTGGAGACTCAAACTGATAAATATATTCATTGCCTTCTTTTCATATGTTGTATTAAGCTATTATTGCGTTGCTATTTCAAAAATCTGAGTCTGGGTAATGTGTAAGAAAAGGGTTTGATTGGCTCATGGTTATGCAGGCTGTACAGGAAGCATAGCACCAGCGTCGGCCTCTGGGAAGGCCTCGGGAAGCTTACAATTATGATGAAAGAAGAGCAGGCATCTCACATGATAGAAGCAGGAGCAAGAAAAATGAGGGAGGGATGGGCCATACTTCTAAACAACCAGATCTCATGAGTACTCACTATCACAAGGATGGCACAGAGCCATGAGGGCCACACCCCATGATTCAACCACCTCTTCCTCAGACCCCACCTGCCACATTGGGGATTAAAATTCAATATGAGAGTTAGAGGGGCATCTAAACTACATCACATGACCATCAGAAAAACAGATGAAGAATTCATGGTTTCTACTGTCCAGAAACTTTCCATCTAGTACAAACGGCTTAATGGCTGAATTCAGCATCCTGTGGTGGGACGGGAGAAGGGAGCTGCACAGGGGACTTTGGCTGCATTTGCTCCACTTCCCTTATGCTGTTCCTCTGAGTTCTGATGTCACCACCTGAAGGGCTATTCATGGACAGAAGAATTATTGTTATTGTTGTGGTTATTTCTGTTTCTTTTATTTTGGTAAAAATAAGTTTTGTTTTTTTTTTTTTTTTGAGACAGAGTCTCACTCTGTCGCCCAGGCTGGAGTGCAGTGGCACAATATCAACTCACCACAAGCTCCGCCTCCCAGGCTGATGCCATTCTCCTGCCTCAGCCTCCCAAGTAGCTGAGACGACAGGCACCGACAACCACACCCAGCTAATTTTTTGTATTTTTAGTAGAGACGGGGTTTCACCATGTTAGCCAGGATAGTCTTGATTTCCTGACCTCGTGATTCGCCTGCCTTGGCCTCCCAACATACTCGGATTACAGGCATGAGCCACTGCGTCTGGCATGAGTTTTTAGCTTCTCATATAATTATCCTAAAAAATCCTAAGAGTTTTACTTAAGTTTCTTTTTATCATGTGTTATAAAAATTGACAGGGAAGTGGCTAAACCAGATTAAAATTACACAAGCTCTAAGAGTCAAGTCTCTGTTAGGCAGGCTTAGGAAAGACAGAACTAGAAATACTCCACCAGCATGGACATCTGAAACATGGGGTCCACTTTCTGTTCCAGCCCTGCCCAGATCCACCCTCTTCTATGGCTTCACCCAGGTCTGGCCTCACCCTAGAATCTTTTCTCACAGAACTGATTCAAGGAGATCAGAGATTTGGGCGGGGGCTCCTGCTGCCTCAGAACTGATTAAAGGAGACCAGAGATTCGGGCGGGGGCTCCTGCTGCCTCCTGAGTTGGTGCCCACAATTTCCTAAAGTGGAAAAGCAGATAAATGGAAGAAAATCATTGCATATTTGGGGACCATAATTTCTTTTCTATTGAAGCCAGTGCTTCTAGAGGCATCCTATCTAGCAACTTGTTTTCCATTCTTGCAAATCCAGTGGCTGCTACACAAGGCACAGAAAGTAAATATAAATATAAAACATCTCTCTGAACAGTTCACCCTTTTTTCTCTATCCCTTGCATCTGTCGACATAGCTTTTATTCTGCACATTTTGTTTTTCAGGTAAATACTTTTTAAAATGGAAGAAAAAATAGAAATGCTAGGCCTGTCATTTAAATCCTGAAAATTACAGAAAACTTAGCACCCAGCTGCCAGTGTGCTATGAGGACTAACTCACATCATGTAATATTTCCTGAACAGTGCTCTGTAACAGACTTCTGAACACATAGTACGTGCTCAATAAAGATTGTATTAACTCATGTGTACATGTTTTCCAAATGCAGACTTACTCAAACATTGGTGCCTTCTCTAGGCTTTCTAAACTGTAAAGAGCCAGCAGAAAATGACATGTTTGAAAAAGGTGATTGGTGGTTTCCACTTTGGGCCAAAAGTACTTGTGTTGTGGTAAGAGTGTTGGGTGTCATGAGCTCTGTGCTGTGCCTACTTTCGCTAGCTGAGTGCTACTATATTGGATGTAGTGGAAGAAACATCAGCATTAAGAGGAGACTTTTTAAAGAAGCCAATTCACGGACCCCTTCCAAACCTTCAGAATCACATCTCTAAGAGAGAGTCGGGAATCAGCAATAATTCATAGGCACATTGAAACTTGAGGAGCAACCGGGCGTGGTGGCTCACGCCTGTAATCCCAACACTTTGGGAGGCCAAAGTGGGCAGACCACCTGAGGTCAGGGGTTCAAGACCAGCCTGGGCAACATGGACAAACCATGTCTCTACTAAAACATACAAAAATTAGCCAGGTGTGGTGGCTGGTGCCTGTAATCCTAACTACTCGTGTGGCTGAGATTGGAGAATCACTTGAACCTGGGAGGTGGAGGTTGCAGTGAGCCAAGATGGCGCCACTGCACGCCTGCCTGGACAATGAGTGAAAACTCTGTCAAAAGAAGGAAGGAAGAAAGAAGAAACTTAGAAACTTGAGAGGCAATGCTTAGCTAAGTGGCTCTCGGCCCATGCTTCCAGCCATAATCATATGGCCAGCTTAAAGAAATACCATCACCTGTGCCCTCCCCAGAGACTCTGTCTATTGGTCTTGGTGGGATCCTCTATGTGGTTGTAATTGGAAAGTCAAATTTTCCCTCTTTGATGATTACATAATAATCATATATACAAAAGATGTAAAGACCACCAAAAAAACTCTTAGATTTGATAAATAAATTTAATAATGTTTCAGAATGCAAAAATCAACTTACAGAAATTAGTAGCATTTTTATACACTAATGATGATCAAGCTGAGAACCGAATTAAAATGTCACTTCCTTTTACAATAGCTACATAAAAGGTAAAATGCTTAGAAATACAATTAGTCAAAGAGATGACAGATCCCTACAAGGAAAACTACAAAACACTGATGAAAGAAATTGTACATGACACAAATGAGAAAAACATCCCATGCTCATGGATTGGAAGAATTATGATTATTAAAATGACTCTACTGCCCAAAGCAATCTACATGTTAAATGCAATTCCTACCAAAATGCCAATGTTATTTCTTATAAAATTAGAAAAAAAAATCTAAAATTCACATGGAACCACAAAAAGAGCCTGAATAGCCAAAGCAAATCTAAGCAAAGAGAACAAAGCTGGAGATATTACATTATCTGACTTAAAATTATACTAGAAGGCTTTAGTAACCAAAATAGCATGGTACTGATATAAATCGACACATAGATCAATGGTACAGAATAGAGAACCCAGAAATAAAGCCACATACCTACAAACAACTTATATTTTACAAAGTCAGCAAAAACATACACTGGAGAAATGACATCCTAGTCAATAAATTGTGCTGGAAAAATTATATTTCCGTATGCAGAAGTAAGGAATGGGACCCCTATGTCCCACCATATGCAAAAGTCAACTAAATATGGATTAAAAGACTAAAATGTAAGACCTGAAACTATAAAAATGCTAGGAGAAATGCTAGGATAAATTCTTCTAGAGATTGACTTGGACAAAGAATTTATGACTAAGATCTCAAAAGCAGATGTAACAATAACAAAAATAGACAAAAGGAACTTAATTAAACTAAAAATCTCCTAAAAATGCTTTTTAATTAACACAGTGAACAGAAAACCTATGGAACGAGATAATGTTTACAAGTTTTGCATGTGACAAAGATCTAACATCCAGAATATACAAAGAACTCAAACAGCTCAATAAAATAAAAATAAAACAAATAACCTTAAAAAGCAAGCAAAGAACATGAACATTTTTTAAAAAAAAGACAATGAGCAAGCAAAGAACATGAACATTTAAATAAAAAAAGACAACGATGGTCAACAAGCACGTAAAAGATGCTCAACGTTGTCAATGATCAGAGAAATGCCAATTAAAAACCACAATGAGATACCAACTTACACCATTCAGAATTGCTATTACTGAAAAGCAGAAAAATGAAATATTGGCAAGGATACAGAGAAAAGAGAACACTTAGACATTGCTTGTGGGAATGTAACTTTCTACAACCTCTATGGAAAACTGTATGGAGATTTCAAAAAAGACTAAAAGTAGAACTTCCATTTGATTCTGCAGTCCCACTACTTTGTATCTACCCAAAGGAAAATAATTTATTACACAAAGAAAATACCCACACTCATATGTTTATTGCAACACTATTCACAATAACCAATATATGAAATCAATTTAAATTTATCAGTCAATAATCGAATAAAGAAAGTGTGCTATACGTTTATACCATGGAATGCTACTCAGCCATGAAGAAGAATAACATCACGTCTTTTGCACAACATGAATAAAACCAGAGGCCATTATTGTAAGTGAAAAACCTCAGAAACAGAAAATCAAATTCTTCATTTTCTCACTTGTAAGTGTGAACTCAATTATGCATACACTTGGATACAGAGACTGGAAAAATAGACACTGGAGACTCAGAAAGTTGGGAGGTTGGCAGAGGGTTTAGGAATGAGAAAATAACTAATTGGGACAATAAAGAGCATTCAGATGATGTTGTCACACCAAAAGCCCATACTTCATCATTATGCAACATGCTTCTGTGAGGGAGCTGCATTTGTACTCTTTAACGTATTAATATAGAGAAAAAAAAGGCCTGGTGCAGTGGCTCAAGCCTATAATCCCAGCACTTTGGGAGGCTAATGCGGGCAGTTAACGTGGTCAGGAGTTGAAGACCAGCCTGGCCAATATAGTGAAACCCCGTCTCTACTAAAAATACAAAAATTAGCCTGGCATGGTGGAGCATAGTAGTCCCAGTTACTCGGGAGGTTGAAGCAGGAGAATCACTTGAACCCGGGAAGTGGAGGTTGTGGTGGGCCGAGATTGTGTCACTGCACTCCAGTCTGGGGAACAGAGGGAGACTCCGTCTCAAAAAAATAAGAGAGAAGAAAAAAACTTTGGCTTTTATCAAGAGGACAAACTGAGTAGACCTCATAATTTTCGTAAATAATTAGATTAGGCAAAAAAATTTTTAATAAAAATAAATAAAAAATATTCTATTTTAAGAATGGTATAGAAAGACAATTTGACGCATTAGAGTAGTTGGTACTTAGCACATACAATATGTTAGGCAAGGTTCTAAGCCCCTTAGACATTTATGGACAGAATATGTAACAGTACAATAAATAACACAAAGGTTCATCGGCAATGACAAATTGACATATTTTCAATCATATTAGATGATAGCTAAACCATTAACAAATTTACTGTTTTGTTTCATAATAAAAAACAAGGTTAAAAAGTTTGACTAATTAGGCATATGGATAAATGGGCAGCATTTTGACCAGTAGACAGAGGATACACATTTTCAAAGACCAGACAAAATTATTTATTTATTTTTGGGGAGAGAGAACAGTTTTATTAACTGAGGATACAGTGGAGTCTTCTCCCTGGGAGGTGAGATCTTCCACTGGTTACCCCCGCCAGGGCTTCAGTGGGCGCCATGCGATTCAGCGCTGGACTCCGCTGGGGGCCGGGCCTTGGAGAAGGCGAACTGTGCAGGGAAGCAGCAGCTCTGGGGTCCTTACCGCCCGCTCCGCCCAGCTGCACCGGGTCTCCTGGTGCTCCTCAGGCTCCTGCCGAGTCTGCGTCTCTGGAGGGCAGCGAACCATCCTGCCCAGAACCTTATCCTGACAGCCCAGTTTGATGCAGGTCAGCCATTTCTGCTTCCTCCCCTCGGGCTGGACTTGGCACTTGGGTTTCTTCCAATCCTTTCTCCGGCCACTTCTCTGTCTGCCGGAGCTTAAATTTCAGCCTCACACATGTTCCAGCTGGGAAGGGCGTGTCCAGGGCGCCATCCACACTGGTTTTCTGGAAATCCTGCTGCACTGGCTGGTGCTTGTAGATTCCTCCAGGACCACCTGCAGGCCCCGGCGCTGGGCCCCTGAGCTCGGACCCGCCCCCCCCACTCCCGCGCCCACCCACGGGGCCAGCGAGATCCACAGCCCTCTCAGTCTTCCCCTTTCACCCCCGCCCTGCGAAGTGGGTGTGCACCCCTTAGTTCTCCGAGCCCGCCGGGAGCCACCTCCTCCCCTGCCCCTGGGGGTTCCATGCCCGCAGAACGCTGGGCAGAGGCGAATGAACCGGGAAATGTCCCTTTCTCCACACTGACCTTGGAGTCTGTTGGGTCCTCTCCACTCCCTCCCACCCTGCCCACGCTGTTCCCTGGGGCCCTCAGTTTCAGCAAAATTCCCTGCCGCGCCGGGAAGCTGTCCTGTTTCCCCCTCTCACCCTTCTTCCTTTTCTGGCCCACTCTCTCTCCCCACTGGGTCTCCGACACGACCCTCTCTCCTCCTGGCTGTCCTGGAGCCCCTCTTTGCTTCCCCAGCTCTGTCCCCTCTCTGACCGCTTCTCCCTCCCACCCCCGACCGAATCTCCTGGCTCCCACGGGGGGACCCAAATCCCCAGGACCCAGGTCAACCACACATAATTATTTTGAATGGGAAGACTTGAATTCATGAAAGAAGGAATCCATCTGGTTATACTTTAAATAATTTTGAAATGATAATAGCAACTATCAATTTAAAGTTTAACCAGAGTTCAGAATACCCACCATTTTACCACAAAGAAAAAAAAAACCTGTTATAACTAACCAATTCAGTAAATTTTCAGGATACAATATTAACATATGAACATCAGGTGCATGTTTTTACAGTAACAATAAAATATCTGAAAAAGGAATAAAGATAATTCCATTTACGATATTATCAAATAGAATGGAACACTTAGGAACAAAGTGTTGGAATGGAACACTTAGAAAAAAGAATATGAAAAATCAGCATACTGAAAACTATAAAATGTTGAGGAAAGAAAATGAAGAATACAAAATGGGAAATATATCCTGTATGCATGGATTCTAAAAATATTGTTAAAATATCCATAGTACACAAAGTGATCTACAGGGTTAAATAAATTTCTATCAAAATTTTAATGCCATTTTATTAAAAATGCAGAACAACTATTTTAAAATTAGTATGGAATCACAAAAGACCTCAAATAGCCAAATACTGAGAAGAACAAAAAGGCTGGAAGCCTCCCACTTCCTGATTTCAAACTGTATTACAAAACTATAGCCATCAAAATAGTATAGTACCTACATAAAAACCAATATAACAGAATAGGGGACCCAGAAATAAACTCACAAATATACAGTCAACCTATCCCACAGAATAGAGAAAGGATAAACACATCAAGGAGTGGTGTAGGAAAAACTAGATATGCAGAGACAAAAAGTACACCTTTCTCTCATACCATCACAAAATGAATTTGAAATGAAATAAAGACTTAAACATAAGAACTGAAATCATGAATCCTCTAAAAAAATGGGGAAAAACCTCCTTGACACTGGTCATGGCAATGATGCTTTGGATTTGGCAGCAGGAGCGCAGTCAACAAATGCAAAAATGAACAAGTGGAACTATGTCAAAGTAAAAAGTTTCTGCCCAATAAAGGAAACAATCAGCAAAATATAAAGGCATTATATGAAATGGGAGAAAACATTTCTAAACCATAGGTGGGATAATATGTTGCTATCCAAAACGTATATCATACTATTCAATACAAAAGAAGAACCCACAGCAGAATTAAAAGCAATTTCTTGATTAATAATTGGGTAAAATATATAAATAGCAATTTTTCCAAAGATATACAAATGGCCAATAGATATATAAAAAATGTTCAACATCACTAATTATCAGAGTAATTAAAATCAAAATCACAATGAGGTATCACCTTATCGTGGTGTTTGGATACCTATTATCAAAAAGTCAAAGGATAAAATCATTAGGGTGCAGAGAAAAGAGAACACTTGCACACTGTTGCTGAGGATGTCAAATGGTGCAGCTATTATGAAAAACAGCATGGAGGTTCCTTATAATTTTTAAACTAGAACTACCATTAATCCCAATTCGGAGTATATAGCCAAAGGAAATAAAGTCAGTATCGTCAAGGGTATCTGCACTCCTCTGATACAGATAAATAAATAAACTGAGAGGTATATAATTTCAGCTTTAATAAAAAATGAAACTTTCATTTACAAAAAATACTGATAAATTTTGAACATATTATGCTAAGAGAAAGCTTAAGCTGAATACAGAAGGACAATTACTGCATGATCTCGTTTGTATGTAAAATCTAGAAAAGCAAATAAAAATTAAAAAGTCATGGAAAGAGAGTAGAACGGTGGTCCCCATGGGCTAGTAAGAGGGAAAGTGGGGAGATATCCATGGAAGGGGTTCACTTTCAGTTATAAGGTGAGTAACTGCTGGGGACCTAATGTACACAATGGTGACTATAGTTAACAATACTGTGTACTTGAAATTTGTTGCAAAAGTAGATCTCAGGTTCTCTCAACACACACACAGAAATGTATTAACTATGTGAGGGGACACATATGGTAACTAGCTTAATTGAGATAATTTAAAGATGTATACACATCTCAAAACCCTCTTGTACACCCTAAAAATATACACTTTTCAATTTGTCAAACATAGCTCAATGAATGGAGAAAAAAATAGGAGAAAAAATATAAGAGTGACCAGCAGGTCATATCTAGCCACTTGGAAACTCGATTTAAAACACTCTTGGCTTCTTAATTTTTGTAAACCATTTATTAAATAGGCAATCCTTTCCCCATTGCTTGTTTTAGTCAGCTTTGTCAAAGATCAGATGGTTGTAGATATGTGACATTATTTCTGAGGGCTCTGTTCTGTTCCATGGGTCTATATCTCTGTTTTGGTACCAGTGTCATTCTGTTTTGGTTACTGTAGCCTTGTAGTATAGTTTGAAGTCAGGTAGTGTGTAATGCCTCCGGCTCTGTTCTTTTAGCTTAGGATTGACTTGGCGATGTAGGCTCTTTTTTGGTTCCATATAAAACTTAAAGTATTTTTTTTTTCCAATTCAGTGAAGAAAGTCATTGGTATCTTGATGAGGATGGCATTGAATGTATAAATGACCTTGGGTAGTATGTTCATTTTCACGATATTGATTCTTCCTACCCATGAACATGGAAAGTTCTTCCATTTGTTTGTATCTTATTTTATTTCATTGAGCAGCTGTTTGTAGTTCTCCTTGAAGAGGTCCTTCACATCCCTTGTAAGTCGAATTCCTAGGTATTTTATTCTCTTTGAAGCAATTGTGAATGGGGGTTCACTCATGATTTGGCTCACTGTTTGTTATTGGTGTATAAGAATACTTGTGATTTTTGCACATTGATTTTGTATCCTGAGGCTTTGCTGAAGTTGCTTATCAGCCTAAGGAGATTTTGGGCTGAGACAATGGGGTTTTCTAGATATACGATCATGTCATCTGCAAACAGGGACAATTTGACTTCCTCTTTTCCTAATAGAATATCTTTATTTCCTTCTCCTGCCTAATTGCCCTGGCCAGAACTTCCAACACTATATTGAATAGGAGTGGTGAGAGAGGGCATCCCTGTCTTGTGCCAGTTTTCAAAGGGAATGCTTCCAGTTTTTGTCCTTTCATTATGATATTGGCTGTGTGTTTGTCATAGATAGCTCGTATTATTTTGAGATACGTCCCATCAATACCTAATTTATTGAGAGTCTTTAGCATGAAGAGTTGTTGAATTTTGTCAAAGGCCTTTTCTGCATCTATTGAAATAATCATATGGTTTTTGTCTTTGGTTCTGTTTACATGCTGGATTACATTTATTGATTTGCGTATGTCGAACCAGCCTTGCATCCCAGGGATGAAGCCCACTTGATCATGGTGGATAAGTTTTTGATGTGCTGCTAGATTTGGTTTGCCAGTATTTTATTGAGGATTTTTGCATCAATGTTTATCAAGGATATTGGTCTAAAATTCTCTTTCTTGGTGGTGTCTCTGCCAGGCTTTGGTATCAGGATGATGCTGGCCTCATAAAATGAGTTAGGGAGGATTCCCTCTTTTTCTATTGATTGGAATAGTTTCAGAAGGAATGGTACCAGTTCCTCCTTGTACCTCTGCTAAAATTTGGCTGTGAATCCTTCTGGTCCTGGACTTTTTTTGGTTGGTAAGCTATTGATTATTGCCACAATTTCAGAGATTGTTATTGGTCTATTTGGAGATTCAACTTCTTCGTGGTTTAGTCTTGGGAGGTTGTATGTGTCGAGGAATTTATCCATTTCTTCTAGATTTTCTAGTTTATTTGCATAGAGGTGTTTTTAGTATTCTCTGATGGTAGTTTGTATTTCTGTGGGATCCGTGGCGATATCCCCTTTATCATTTTTTTATTGTGTCTATTTGATTCTTCTCTCTTTTCTTCTTTATTTGTCTCGCTAGTGGTCTATCAATTTTGTTGATCTTTTCAAAAAAACAGGTCCTGGATTCATTAATTTTTTGAAGGGTTTTTTGTGTCTCTATTTCCTTCAGTTCTGTTCCGATTTTAGTTATTTCTTGCCTTCTGCTAGCTTTTGAATGTGTTTGCTCTTGCTTTTCTAGTTCTTTTAATTGTGATGTTAGGGTGTCAATTTTGGATCTTTCCTGTTTTCTCTTGTGGGCATTTAGTGCTATAAATTTCCCTCTACACACTGCTTTGAATGTGTCCCAGATATTCTGGTATGCTGTGTCTTTGCTCTCATTGGTTTCAAAGAACATCTTTATTTCTGCCTTCGTTTTGTTATGTACCCAGTAGTCATTCAGGAGCAGGTTGTTCAGTTCCCATGTAGTTGAGCGGTTTTGAGTGAGTTTCTTAATCCTGAGTTTTAGTTTGATTGCACTGTGGTCTGAGAGACAGTTTGTTATAATTTCTGTTCTTTTACATTTGCTGAGGAGTGCTTTACTTCCAACTATGTGGTCAATACAAAAATTAATTCAAGATGGTTTAAAGACTTAAACCTTTCACCTAAAACCATAAAAACCCTAGAAGAAAACCTAGGCAATATCATCCAGGACATAGGCATGGGCAAAGACTTCATGTCTAAAACACCAAAAGCAATGGCAACAAAAGCCAAAATTGACAAAAGGGATCCAATTAAACTAAAGAGCTTCTGCACAGCAAAAGAAGCTACCATCAGGGTGAACAGGCAACCTACAAAATGGGAGAAAATTTTCACAACCTACTCATCTGACAAAGGGCTAATATCCAGAATCTACAATGAACTCAAACAAATTTACAAGAAAAAAAACAACCCCATCAAAAGTGGGTGAAGGATATGAACAGACACTTCTCAAAAGAAGACATTTATGCAGCCAAAAAGCCCATGAAAAAATGCTCATCATCACTGGCCATCAGAGAAATGCAAATCAAAACCACAATGAGATACCATCTCACACCAGTTACAATGGTGATCATTAAAAAGTCAGGAAACAACAGGTGCTGGAGAGGATGTGGAGAAATAGGAACACTTTTACACTGTTGGTGGGACTGTGAATTAGTTCAAACATTGTGGAAGTCAGTGTGGCGATTCCTCAGGGATCTAGAACTAGAAATACCATTTGACCCAGCCATCCCATTACTGGGTATATACCTAAAGGATAATAAATCATGCTGCTATAAAGACACATGCACACGTATGTTTATTGTGGCACTATTCACAATAGCAATGACTTGGAACCAACCCAAATGTCCAACAACGATAGACTGGATTAAGAAAATGTGGCACATAAGCACCGGGGTACACTATGCAGCCATAAAAAAGGTTGGGTTCATTTCCTTTGTAGGGACACAGATGAAACTGGAAACCATCATTCTCAGCAAAGTATTGCAAGGACAAAAAACCAAACACTGCATTTTCTCACGCATAGGTGGGAAATAAACAATGAGAACACATGGACACAGGAAGGGGGACATCACACTCCGGGGACTGTTGTGGGGTGGGGAGAGGAGGGAGGAATAGCATTAGGAGATATACCTCATGCTAAATGGCGAGTTAATGGGTGCAGCACACCAACATGGCACATGTATATATATATGTAACAAACCTGCACATTGTTCACATGTACCCTAAAACTTAAGGTATAATAATAATAAAATTTAAAAAAAAAAGAATTCCGGAAAAAAAAACACTCTTGGCCACTGTTTCCAGCTCAACTCGAGAACAGCCAGAGCGCTTCTGGCCCCTGAACTTCGACGCTCCTCCCCCGGCCCCAATGGCTGGCGAAGGTACAATCCTTCCCGGGATTCCAGGCCGCGAAGATAGGGCAGGGCCATCGCAGTCCCCTTGCTCTTTGCCGCAGCCCCGTTAGGCTTCGCGTTTCGTGGTGTCCAGGCCGCGGAGGCTGCCTGTGGCTGCCCGTGCGTCCCCGTGGCCTGTGGCTCCTCAATTCTGCGCTTCGGCCCCGCGCAGCCCCTTCGAGGCTGCAGCCGTCTTGCGCCCGAACTCAGGGCCCCGGGCCCGTTCCCCCCGCCAGCGCCTTCGCTTTTGCCGCCCCTCCCTCTCCCCGAACCCCAGCGGGCCCCCAGAGAAGGAGGGCGGAGAAGCTGGAAAGCGACTGCGGAGCTGCCGGCGGCAGGTGCGGGAAGGGGAGAAGCTGGCCTTGCACAGAAAGGCTGCTCAGAGCGACACGGACAACGGCCAGGAGCTCCTCACGCAGCTGGAAGAACTCAGTAACGTGCTCCACTGTGGGGGGAATGGAGATAATGAAAGTGTGATGTAGAAGTACTCACAGAGAACCATGATCCTTGGTCAATCTCAGATTATTATTGTCAGACCTACTCTAATGATGTTAGTCTTCCAAGTAAAGTGAGTGACTGAACTGTCAGATCAGCAAGATCAGGATATTGAAACTCCTGCTTTGAATTCTTAAGACCAATTACAAATGGAAAATGATGCTCACCCTTCTACTGATAAAACAGCAAATGTTGAATGTAGACAAGAGGGTCATTTGCCTCAAATTCACAGGAGCCAGCATCTGCATTAGCAGCACAAGATATATCCTTAGAAGGTCCGTCATTAGCTGGAAGTTTGAGAGCTACAGCAGAAGCGGCTTTATCACAGACTGGATTTAGTTATGATGAAAATGCTGGACTGTATTTTGACCACAGCACTGGTTCCTATTAAGATTCTGAGAATCAAATCTCAGATTATTATCAGACTTACTCTAATGATGTTAGTCTTCCAAATAAAGTGAGTGACTGAACTTTCAGATCAGCAAGTTCATGATATCGAAACTCCTTATCTTATCATATTCACCCTGACGTGATAGCTGTGTTGGATGTGAACCAGGGTAGGTTAGAGCTCACCTTTTCCTTGATAAGAAAGATGAATCATTTGTTGGTCCAACATTAACTAAGAAGGAAACGAGTTGGAAAGAAGAAAAGGATTTTTAAAATATATGAGTAAAATATGGTTTACAGAATACAGACTATGAAGATGATAAGATACTAGAGAATGTAAACTATAACGACAGAGCTGGAAAACATAGGGAGCAGATTGGAAGCGAAGGAAATTTCCAAAGAGATGATGCTCCTGCATCTGTTCATTCTGAAATTACTGATAGCGACAAAAGTCAGAAGATGTTGAAAAAGATGTGTTGAAAACAGGAGAAGGCCTGGGGAATGATGGTGGGAGAATAAAAACTCTGATACAGCTTCAGCTTCGGCAGACACATGCAGGATTGGAGACAGGCAAACCATCCTCAATTAAAGAGGCTCACCTTCTCCAAAACAACAAGAACAGAAACTAGGACAAAGCACAGGAGAGGTTTGCTGAAAACTTTCCAGAAACTAAACTTCCAAAAGATGACCTAGGAACCATTCCTTGGGTAAAAGAGACTGAGGAGTGAAGGTTAATCACAGAAGAAAACTCAAGCTTTTTTAAAAATAGAGTTTGGAAACTCTTATTTTATTGCAGAACGTTTCTCCTCAAAAAATTCAGTGGCACAAGAAAACTATGTCACAATTTACCCCTTCCTGATTCAGAAATGTGTAATAAAGTGTGGTTGGCAGCTTTTAAAAAAACACTTTTTAAACTAATTATTAGTGCCTGAATTAAGTTATACAGTAAGTGAACTAAAGTTCACAGGGCACAGATAAGTTTATCAAACTTTACTATTTTATCTTGTCATTTACAACATCCATATAAGCAATTAGCCATATAAGCAAAATTCATATAACCACTTAAATGTACATTTGTCCTTGTCTCCATATATTCATACTAAGATGCACAGAAAATACAGCAAAAGAAACATTGAAAGTCAATAAAAATAAATCTGACAATATACATTTTTTATGCCCTTCAGGACCTAGATACAAAAAATGTTGAGAAAACATGGATAGTGGTGCATACATTTTCTAATATGTGAATAGCCTAAATCACATGAAAGAACTAATGAACGGTGACATGTCATAGAAAATTCATCTTTTATTGTTTTCTTTGATGAAGAATCTGAATTTGTTGATATGTACTATACATTCAGCATTTGTATTTGGTTTGTTTCATAGCTAATGATATGTTTATACATGAACAAAGAGTACAGTGTTGAAATAGTCTGTGTGCTGACATTCATAGTTTTTAAAAATACCATTGCAGGCAATGAAGTTGTGCCAGAAAAATCTGATTTCTTGTACAAAAGGAATACTTAGCCAGGGCCTCAAGCTCAATATATTTATTAAAAATGTCCTACATTGCCATAAAAACATGATAACGTTAAATAATTTATTTCTATAAATTAAGAATTAAAAATAAAAATGATATCTTTTATGGATTAAGGAAGTGCTGATGAGACAGAATGGCGATTGAAGACAAAAATTCCAAATTCAGGTAAATAATTTTACTCATATTTGTTTTATTTTAGAGAAAACAATACTTTTGACCATATACTATTTATTGCAGTGGAGTATTTCAAAAATATATACACAATATATAATTAATTTTCTAATGGCATAAAAGTAATCACATTCTACAGATTATTACAATATGGTCTATTGATGAGAGGGGTGTTTCAAATGAAAAAACTTGGAATTTCTCATGAGATAGTGATAGATGCCATAGAAAATCTCTGTAAAGTATTTCACTCATATATGCAACTATGGATATTTCTGCTTTTCAGAAAAATAATTTACTTTAAATACTTAATGCAGACAATTAAAATCACCAAGAAGTTACAAGAATTCACAGAATGCCTAATATAGTTGAAATGAAATTAATAAAATTTCCCAGGACTGGAAGTAAATAAAGGTAATGAGCTGGAGAAGAAATCAACCTAACAGGCCAGGGCTCCACTCAGATGCGTCTGATCACAAGAATGTCAGGTCCATGTGGGTTGTTCCCTTCTGACAAGGCAAATGGAATAAACAAAGAGGAACTGCCTGCAGGCATTGGAATGTGGTGTCTCCCATATGTGATGATTAAATTATAGATTATGTTGCACACAAAGAGATGAGCTACTGGGGTGAAGCATCAGAAGAAATATGGCACATAAATCTCAGATATTGAATTTACATTTAAATGTTTAAGTCAATATAATGGAAAAACAAGAAACCAAAATAATGTAGAAAGAAACTACGAGCTTGTCAAGTTATCTTTGGAAAAGAGGCAAATGAAAAGTAAAGTATTGAAAGTGTTGTAAAACAATTTAATGTACAACATATAAGTTACATATTAAAATAGGCTGAGCCGAAAAGAGGACTAGTAAAGTGAAATGCTGATCACAATTAATGTAGTCATATATGTTATACAAGGCAAATTAATAGAAAATATAAATATATTTATATATGAAGGTTAGATTGAGAGGAAATAAAAGACATTCAATTGTTTTACTAGACTCTTTAAACAGGAAGGCAATAGTCAAAGAATCAGTGACTCGTAAGTTTCAGAAATTGGAAACCAGACATGAATCCTTTAAAAGTTTAGGGTGTAATATATGAAAAAAAGGTAAATTAAGAAATACTAAGAAGAAATAATGGTTTTGGTTATTATGAATACTGCTTAAAAAACATGAAAGTGCAGTTATCTTTTTGACTTGCTTGTTTTATTTCCTTTTGATATAAACCCAGTAATGAGATTGCTGCATCATATGGTAGTTTTATTTGTAATTAATTGAAAAACCTCCATGCTGTTCTCCCTATAGAAATGGGAAATGATTATAGTAATTTACATTCCTACCAACAGTGTATAAGGGCCCATCTACAGAATGAATAAAGAAAATGCTATACACACACGCACACTCACACGCACACACACACAGGAATAATGTTCAGTCATAAAACAGAATGAAGTTCCGTAATTTGTGTCAACATGGATGACTGTAGAGGACATTATGTTAAGTGGAATAAGCCAGTCACAGAAAGACAAAGACCACGTGCTCTCACTCATGTGACATCTGAAGAAGTCCATCTCATACAAGTAGGGAGTAGGATTGTGGTTAACATAGGTTATCGATGGCAGAAGGATGAGAGAGTGGGGAGAGCTTTGTCACTGGGTACAAAATTACAGTTAGGAAGAATAAATCCTGGTGTTCTATTACACAGTACGATGACTATAGCTAATAATAATGTACCGTTTATTCTATAATAGCTTGAACAGAGGATTTTGAACTTTATTAGACAAGGAAATAAATATTTAAATTTTTAAATATGCTAATCACTCTGGTTGGATCACTGTACAGTGTAAAAGGTACAATGTGATGCAGTGAAACGTGATATAATTAACACTTGATAATTATACATGTTTACGGAGTATAGTGTGGTGTTTCACTGCATCACGCTGTACCGTGTAATATGATGCAGTGAAACATAATGTAATTAACACATGAAAATTATACACGTTTATGGAGTACAATGTGATGTTTCACTGCATCTCACTGTACCGTGTAGTATGATGCATTGAAACATCACACTGTACCCCATAAATATTAATGGTTCAGCGAGGAACTCTGGGACACAGAGCAGCTCCGGGTTAGCCATGACCAGGAGCTTCACTTGTGTGAGGTAGCGAGAGGGGAATGCCCCTGTACTCAGCTGAGAGTTGGCCCCGACCCCATCCACTTTGACTGCTGGGTGCCAGCAGAAGTCAGGGACCACTAACTTCAGGCAGAGGCAGGAAGCAAGGTCATTGCATCTTTTTTCTTTTTTTCTTTTGAGAGAGTCTCACTCTATCACCCAGGCTGGAGTGCAGTGGCGCGATCTCGGCTCACTGCAACGTACTTAGAGGTGTACTTCAGAATCACACCTGCAGGAATCACACATAGAGGTTTACGTCAGAATCACATCTGCAGGAAGGTCCCTCGGTGAGATTAACAAGCCCACATAAGTGCCAGTTCTGGGTATGAGAGTCAAGGCCTCCTGTATGTTGCATCTATGTACATAAATCACAATCTCAACGGTGGAATGGATTTTTCCATGACAGCCTTAATGTCTTTTGAAAACTGAGTTATCTTACTGTAGTCACAGCCTCACAAGTGTTTTGGATCTTGGTCAGGGAGTCACATACTCACTTGTGGACAACATCCACTTATGAGAGCCAATTTTCCAACTTTTGACTGCCTCTGGGTGTGAGATTCAAAACCTGAATCATGGGCTGTGTTCATGTGGGAGAATGACAATTTTGACTGATGGCTGGGCTCAGGCAGGAGACTTTCATCCTGCAGGTGTTGAGATAAATGATATGTCACAATACACAAAATATGCTGGGTGCAGGCAAAAGAGGAGATTCATATTAGCTGGTTACTAGGTCCAGTTATATGTCACGTTTTTGGCAGGGCTAAGGCAGAAGAGGAGAGTCAGAGCTGAAGAAATGTCACAATGTCCCTGTGGGCAGGGCCTACGCATAAGAATTACATCATGTAGTCATCGAACCCAGCCATATATTACAATACACAATGTATACAGGACCAAGGCAAGAAAGGACAGTATATCACATAGGTACTGGGTCCAGCAATATGTCACAATACCACCTGAGGGGAGGCTCCAGGCAACAGGGTAACATTACCTAAGTGAAGTGCCCAGAGAGATGTTTCAATGCCCCTGGTGGGTAGGATTTTGAAAAAGGACAAGTTACAGAACCTAGGGGCTAGGCATAGCTATGAGCCACATTCGTCTCCAAGACGGAGCTCAGACATGAGAGAAAAGTTACATCTTGTAAGTACTGGGCAAAGTAATATGTCACAATCCTTATGTGAGCAGGCCCTAGGAAGAAGTAGAGAGTCACATAGTCTAGTTGATGGGCCCAGAGGTATTTGACAATGACTCCTGTAGGTAGGAACCAGGCAAAAGAATCACTTCACCTGTGTGCTGTGCCCAGTTACAAGTCACTCTTCCCTCTGTGGACATGACCCAGGCAGGGAGAAGAGTCACATCATCCGGGTGCTTGGCCCAAAGATATGTCACAATCTTTCATATGGGCAATGCTCAGGTAAGACAGGAGAGTCACATCAAATAGGTGAAGGACCCACAGGTATGTCACAAGGCCTTCTGTGAACTTGATCCAGGCAGAAGATTCACAGCAACTTGGTGCTAAGCCCAGCAACATGTCACAATCCCTTCTGTGTAAACGGACCAGGCAGGAGAAGAGAATCACATTACCTGGCTGATAAGTGCAGAGATATGTCACAATGCCCCTTGCAGGCAGGGCCCAGGCAGAGGAGTTACAACACCTGGGTAGTGGACCCAGCAATATACTGCAGTGTCCCATATGGGCAGTGCACAAGCAGGAGATTCACATAACCTGGGTCCAAGGCCAAGCTATATATAACGCTTCCTGTGGGCAGCGCCAAGGCAGAAGAGGAGACTCACATCACCTGGGTGCAAGGTCTAGCGATATGCCAAAATGCTTACTGTGGGCAGTGCCAAGGAAGGAGAATAGAGTTACACCCTCAATGTGCTGGATTCAGCAATATGTTAATACCCATATCTGTGGGCTGGGTCCATGCAAGAGCGTCAAGTCACTCAGGTGCTAGGCACTGGGAAATTTCACCATGAAATCTGCAGAATCGTCCAGGAGTAAGATTAACAATCCCACAACTCTCTCACTTGTAGGCATGACATTCAACACCTCCTGTATGTTGGGTCTAAGCCCACGAGTAACCATCTCAACACCAGACTGGATCTGTGCATGAAAGCCTCAATTCCTCTGCACACTGTGTCACCTTAGTGAAGTCACAGCCTCACAGTTGTGCTGAATCTTGGTCTGAGAGTCACCAACCCATGAGTATCCATATATAAGTCATTTCTTCCCACCTTTGACTGACTACAGGTGTGAGATTCAGAACCTCAACAGTGACCTGTGTTCATGTGAGAGGATGACAATATTTACTGTTGACTGGGTGTGCATATGAGTGCCACAATCTCACTTGTGTGCTCGGCCCAGTTAGCACTCTCTGTGTACTACCCAATGGTGCTATACAGTATGAATGAAAGTTGCAATCAACTTTGAGACCTTCCTGCTGGTAGGGACCCATGATCGTGTCTGTGGCATTAAACCCGGGTATGAGAGTCAACATCATTACAATTAACTATGTCAGGATAGGAGACTCCTCCCTTGTCTATAAGCTGGGCTTAGAAATGAGCCACCATTTCAACTCTGGTTGAATGTTTATATATTAACACTGGCCTAACACCGAGGTGATGTGAGTCTTTGGCCTAGACACTTCAAGCAGGAGGCAATGTGACATATCTCTGGGCCTAACAACTATTTGATGTGACCTGCTTTTTTACCTGAGCGTTTCCCATAAAAGAGACGTGACGTGACATATGTCTAGACCCAGCACCTAGGTGATGTGACTTTCCTTTTTTGACTGAGCCCTGTGTATTTTGGGTATTCTGATATATCACTGGACCTAACATCTGGAAGACAAGAAGATCCAGCATGGGCCCTGCCTAAAAGTTTCTTGTGACATATTTCTACGTTAATACCTTGGAGATGTGACTCTCCTCTCTTACCTGGGCTTTACCCATAAGAGAGATGGTTACATATCTCTGCAACAAGCACCTAAATGCCGTGACCCTTCTTTCTTGCCTGGGTCACGCCCACAGATGAAAGGGTGGCTAATCGCTGTTTCCAGCACACCAGTTATGGGATTATTCTGCCAGATCTCTGCTCACAGGAGTCATTGTGACATATCCCTGGGCCCAGAAACTATTTAATATGACTCTTCTCTATTACCTTAACTTCGTGTATAGGATAAATTGTGACATATTTCTGGGTCCAGCACCTAGGTGATGCAACTCTCCTTTTCTGCATGGACTATGCCCCCAGGAAGGAGGCTGATTTATTGCTGTGTTGACAGCTGATGTGATACCTCGGTTCTTGTCTTCTTAGTTTATAAGAATTTAAACAAGAGACACACAGAAAAGAAGTACAACATAATTTATTGGAGAAGAAAAAAAATGTTTGAAAGTTAAATGCAGAATACAGTACACCATGAGAGAGATATTCCAGGGCGGGCTGCTCATAAGAGTGAGACAGTGTGGATTGTCGCTGGAGAAACCCCCTTATGGGAGTTTTACGTTATTATTAATAAGAAAAGGGGAAGAGGAGCTGTTAGTAAGCCTGTTCTGAGTGGTCTATTGGGTGCACATGTGCGGTAGCTGTACATGCTTGTTCATATGTTGCATGTCTCATTAGCATCTTAGACCTGTAGCCAGGAGTGTATTTTTGTTTGTTTGCTTGAGACAGAGTTTCACTCTGTTGCCCAGGCTGGGGTGCGGTGGTGCAATCTCTCCTCACTGCAACCTCTGCCTCCCGAGTTCAAGCCATTCTCATGCCTCGGCCTCCTGAGTAGCTGGGATTACAGGCATGCACCACCAAACCCGGCTAATTTTTGTATTTTTAGTTGAGACGGGGTTTCACTATGTTGGCCAGTCTAGTCTTGAGCTTCTGGTTTCAAGTGATCCATACCCCTCAGCCTCCCAAAGTGCTGGTAGTACAGGTGTGAGCCACCATGCCCAGCTGGGGGGTGTATTTTTGCTATTAAAATAAGCAAAAGTTAAGTTTGAGGACAGGTAAAATCAAAATGCACGTGCTCTCTAGAACAGAAAGTCCTTAATGAAGATAACTTTGCTTGAATGAGCCCAATTACAATGCGAATGCTAAAGCTTATTGTTTTGGCTGTACAGTCGCCAGTTTCAATGAAGGGGAGGCCTGCCCTTCCACACCTGTGGGTGTTTCTCGTCAGGTGGAACTAGAGACTGAGAAAAGAAAGAGACACAGAGACAAAGTATAGACAAAGAAAATTGGGCTCAGGGGACCAGCGCTCAGCATGCGGAGGACCCGCGCGGGCACTGGTCTCTGAGTTCCCTCAGTATTTATTGATCATTATCTCTACCATCTTGGAGAGGGGGATATGGCAGGACAATAAGGTAATGGTGGAGAGAGGGTCAGCAGGAAAACATGTGAAGAAATGTCTCTGTGTCATAAACAAGGTTAGAAAATGCGCTGTGCCTTGATGTGCACGTATACAAACATCTGGGTGCATTAAAGAGCAGTATTGCCGCCAGCATGTCTCAACTCCAGCCCTGAGGTGGTTTTCTCCTATCTCAGTAAATAGAACATACAATCGGTTTTTACACCAAGACATTCCATTGCCCAGGGATGAGCAGGAGACAGATGGCTTCATCTTATCTCAACTGCAAAGAGGCCTTCCTCTTTTACTAATCCTCCTCAGCACAGACCCTTTATGGGTGTCGGGCTGGAGAATGGCCAAGTCTTTACCTTCCCAGGAGGCCATATCTGAGGCTATCACGTGGGGAGAAACATTGGACAATAACTGGTTTTCCTAGGCAGAGGTCCCTGTTGCCTTCCACAGTGTATTGTGTCCCTGGGTACTTGGGATTAGAGAGTGGTGATGAATTTTAACAAGCTTACTGCCTTCAAGCACTTTTTTAACAAAGCACATTCTGCATAGCGCTAAATTCATTAAATCGTGACTCAACACATCACAAGTCTCTGTGAGCACAGGGTTGGGGCTAGGGTTACAGATTAACAGCATCTCAAGGCAGAATAATTTTTCTTAGTGCAGAACAAAATGGAGTCTTTTATGTCTACTTCTTTCTACATAGACACAGTAACAGTCTGATCTCTCTTTTCCACACATTTCTGTATCCTGAGATCATGGTCATTTCCTTGACTATCTATTCTGCCTCAATTTCCCCCTAAGAGACCTTAGGGTCAAAATCATATTGGAGGTTGAGGGGCTAGGTCATTTTTTCTGGAGCTGTTTCCTGCTGAGTGGGTGTTATTTCTGCCTAGCCTGGGCCCTAAAATTTCTTCCTGTGTTATCTAACTGGGTGTAAACCATGTCATTCGTGGAGCCAGTGGGCAAGATGTTGGCAGCAAAGGTTGAAAGCCTTGCAAAACCATCATGCAAACATGGAGTTGCCGTAAGCAAGACAGCAAGAAATCAGTTAACATTTTAAACAAAATTGGAACAAAAGTAAAAGCTGAAAGTATAGTAATGACTGTTACTATTAAAGAGAGTAAGGCAGGTAACAGACATTGCTTTCATGTTCCCATGGAAGTTCCTAGAGATTCAATTTTGTCTGCCTGGGTGATGACATTATTAACATTTTCTTGGATTAAACCAGGCTGATTGATCTCAAAAACAGCATTCTTCTTTTAGATGTAAACATCCTCCTCTTTGCCTAGCTGGGAGAAGATCCCAGGCTCTTTGGTTTTGTCGGACTACAGTGGCCATGGAGTCCAGATGTTGTTGAAGTCTATTGAGGCCCTCTGCTGCTTGTTGCAGACCCATTGAGGCTTTCTGAGATAGTTTATACTGGATTCCCAAGGCTCCACCTTATGGTGACATTTGTGCTGCAAAAGTATTTTGCATTAACATTTTGAAAGCAACAAATGCTTTAAGTATTTTCTATTTTTTGCCAATAAGCAAAATTTTGTGCAGCTAAGTTGGCAGCAGTCATTCGGTTCGTTTATGGATGGTGCAGTTGAACGGTGGTCAAAGTTAGAGCCTGGAAGCCTTCAGTAAATGCGCTGAAGTTGTCTGAGGGCCATCAGAGTTGTTGCTTATATTGTATTAGATCATTTATTGAGAGTAGAACAAGCACACTGGTGGACCTCTCTCCATTTGGGACTTTCTGTACGGGGAGAAATTTCTCTGGCCCTGGATGGTGTGAAGTCTCACTGTAACTGCAGCTGGGCTGGTCTCTATTGTATCTGGCAAAGGCCGATAGAGAGGAGCATAAGGAGGAGGTTAAACAAGCTTAGATTCTACAGAAGACTCTGATAGTTTGGAGACGCTGGGGATTCTAAAGGAGGTGTGTGCCCCTGAGGGCCCCTATCTGGAGCTGGTGTTGGGCTGTGGGGTCTGAGGTCCCTTCCCCTTAATAAGAGATGATCTTCTAATGGTTCTGAGGGGCTTTCTGGCTTACTAGGCTTTAGCCCACAGGTGCTGCATAGAGCTGGGTTTTGTTGTCAGGCCAGAAAGTCTTGCACATAGGATACTTCAGACCATTTTCCCTGATTTCCACAGAAACCATCTAGCTGGAGGATGGAGTTAAAGTTCACAGTCTCATTCTCCAGCCATGTTTTGTCAGCTAATCTGTAGGCAGGGTAAATAGTGTTACAAAAGAAGATAAGGTTTTCTTTTTTCTAAGTTTATTTAACCAAAAGCTGTTCAAATTTTTAGATATACATCCCAGGGGTGTTTCAGTGACAGTAGAGGAAGTGGCTCCCACGGTGCCGAGAGAATCGTGCAACAACAGAACATTTACTGAAGACCAGAAGGCTGTGGGCATCCTCATGAGCCAAGTGGAACCACCATGGTGTCCAGCTCATCCCCTTGAAACCCCATTAACTGAAGCTCAAGGAGGTCATAGGCATTTGCTATACACCATCCTAGCTCTCACCAGTGGTAGACATCTCTAGCCCTACCAAGATGACCCCCACTGCTGGCTGGGGGGCAGATGTCTGGCTGACAAGGCTTGCCCAAATTCACTGGTTTGCCATTTGAGATGCCCGATTATAACACCTGGAATGCTCAGATGCAATCCCTATGACCGGGCATCTACATGACTGTGCATCTTTTGTTCAGTAAAGAAAGCCTGTTTGGGGAGGAGCCAAGATGGCTGAATAGGAACAGCTCCGGTCTACAACTCCCAGCGTGAGCGACACAGAAGACGGGTGATTTCTGCATTTCCATCTGAGGTACCGGGTTCATCCCACTAGGGAGTGCCAGACAGTGGGCTCAGGTCAATGGGTGCACACACCGTGCAAGAGCCGAAGCAGGGCAAGGCATTGCCTCACTCAGGAAGTGCAAGGGGTCAGGGAGTTCCCTTTCCTAGTCAAAGAAAGGGGTGACGGACGGCACCTGGAAAATCGGGTCACTCTCACCCGAATACTGCACTTTTCCGACGGGCTTAAAAAACGGTGCACCACGGGATTATATCCCGCACCTGGCTCGGAAGGTCCTACACCCACGGAGTCTCGCTGATTGCTAGCGCAGCAGTCTGAGATCAAACTGCAAGGCCGCAGCGAGGCTGGGGGAGGGGCACCCGCCATCGCCCAGGCTTGCTTAGGTAAACAAAGCAGCCTGAAAACTAGAACTGGGTGGAGCTCACCACAGCTCAAGGAGGCCTGCCTGCCTCTGTAGGCTCCACTTCTGGGGGCAGGGCACAGACAAACAAAAAGACAGCAGTAACTTCTGCAGACTTAAATGTCCCTGTCTGACAGCTTTGAAGAGAGCAGTGGTTCTCCCAGTATGCAACTGGAGATCTGAGAAGGGGCAGACTGCCTCCTCAAGTGGGTCCCTGACCCCTGACCACCGAGCAGCCTAACTGGGAGGCACCCCCTAACAGGGGCACACTGACACCTCACACGGCAGTGTACTCCAACAGACCTGCAGCTGAGGGTCCTCTCGGTTAGAATGAAAACTAACAAACAGAAAGGACATCCACACAAAAGCCCATCTGTACATCACCATCATCAAAGACCAAAAGGAGATAAAACCACAAAGATGGGGAAAAAACAGAACAGAAAAACTGGAAACTCTAAAAAGCAGAGTGCCACTCCTCCTCCAAAGGAACGCAGTTCCTCACCAGCAACGGAACAAAGCTGGATGGAGAATGACTTTGACGAGCTGAAAGAAGAAGGCTTCAGACGATCAAATTACTCTGAGCTATGGGAGTACATTCAAACCAAAGGCAAAGAAGTTGAAAACTTTGAAAAAAATTTAGAAGAATGTATAACTAGAATAACCAATACAGAGAAGTGCTTAAAGGAGCTCATGGAGCTGAAAACCAAGGCTTGAGAACTACGTGAAGAATGCAGAAGCCTCAGGAGCCGATGCGATCAACTGGAAGAAAGGTTATCAGCGATGGAAGATGAAATGAATGAAATGAAGCGAGAAGGGAAGTTTAGAGAAAAAAGAATAAAAAGAAATGAGCAAAGCCTCCAAGAAATAAGGGACTATGTGAAAAGACCAAATCTACGTCTGCTTGGTGTACCTGAAAGTGATGGGGAGAAAGGAACCAAGATGGAAAACACTCTGCAGGATATTATCCAGGAGAACTTCCCCAATCTAGCAAGGCAGGCCAACATTCAGATTCAGGAAATACAGAGAACGCCACAAAGATACTCCTTGAGAAGAGCAACTCCAAGACACATAATTGTCAGATTCACAAAAGTTGAAATGAAGGAAAAAATGTTAAGGGCAGCCAGACAGAAAGGTCGGGTTACCCTCAAAGGGAAGCCCATCAGATGAACAGCGGATCTCTCGGCAGAAACCCTACAAGCCAGAAGAGAGTGGGGGCCAATATTCAACATTCTTAAAGAAAAGAATTTTCAACCCAGAATTTCATATCCAGCCAAACTAAGCTTCATAAGTGAAGGAGAAATAAAATCCTTTACAGACAAGCAAATGCTGACAGATTTTGTCACCACCAGGCCTGCCTTAAAAGAGCTCCTGAAGGAAGCGCTAAACATGGAAAGGAACAACCGATACCAGCCACTGCAAAATCATGCCAAAATGTAAAGTTCATCGAGACTAGGAAGAAACTGCATCAACTAACGAGCAAAATAACCAGCTAACATCATCATGACAGGATCAAATTCACACATAACAATATTAACTTTAAATGTAAATGGACTAAATGCTCCAATTAAAAGACACAGACTGGCAAATTGGATAAAGAGTCAAGACCCATCAGTGTGCTGTATTCAGGAAACCCATCTCATGTGCAGAGACACACATAGGCTCAAAATAAAAGGATGGAGGAAGATCTACCAAGCAAATGGAAAACAAAAAAAGGCAGGGGTTGCAAACCTAGTCTCTGATAAAACAGACTTTAAACCAACAAAGATCAAAAGAGACAAAGAAGGGCATTACATAATGATAAAGGGATCAATTCAACAAGAAGAGCTAACTATCCTAAATATATATGCACCCCACACAGGAACACCCAGATTCATAAAGCAAGTCCTGAGTGACCTACAAAGAGACTTAGACTCCCACACATTAATAATGGGAGATTTTAACACCCCACTGTCAACATTAGACAGATCAACGAGACAGAGAGTCAACACCGATAACCAGGAATTGAACTCAGCTCTGCACCAAGCGGACCTAATAGACATCTACAGAACTCTCCACCCCAAATCAACAGAATATACATTTTTTTCAGCACCACACCACACCACACCTATTCCAGAATTGACCACATAGTTGGAAGTAAAGCTCTCCTCAGCAAATGTAAAAGAACAGAAATTATAACAAACTATCTCTCAGACCACAGTGCAATAAAACTAGAACTCAGGATTAAGAATCTAACTCAAAACTGCTCAACTACATAGAAACTGAACAATCTGCTCCTGAATGACTACTGGGTACATAATGAAATGAAGGCAGAAATAAAGATGTTCTTTGAAACCAACGAGAACAAAGACACAACATACCAGAATCTCTGGGACACATTCAAAGCAGTGTGTAGAGGGAAATTTATAGCACTAAATGCCCACAAGAAAAAGCAGGAAAGATCCAAAATTGACACCCTAACATCACAATTAAAAGAACTAGAAAAGCAAGAGCAAACACATTCAAAAGCTAGCAGAAGGCAAGAAATAACTAAAATCAGAGCAGAACTGAAGGAAATAGAGACACAAAAAAACCTTCAAAAAATTAATGAATCCAGGAGCTGGTTTTTTGAAAGGATCAACAAAATAGATAGACCACTAGCAAGACTAATAAAGAAAAAAAGAGAGAAGAATCAAATAGACACAATAAAAAATGATAAAGGGGATATCACCACCGATCCAACAGAAATACAAACTACCATCAGAGAATACTACAAACACCTCTACGCAAATAAACTAGAAAATCTAGAAGAAATGGATAAATTCCTTGACACATACACTCTCCCAAGACTAAACCAGGAAGAAGTTGAATCTCTGAATAGACCAATAACAATCTCTGAAATTGTGGCAATAACCAATAGGTTACCAACCAAAAAGAGTCCAGGAACAGATGGATTCACAGCCGAATTCTACCAGAGGTACAAGGAGGAACTGGTACCATTCCTTCTGAAACTATTCCAATCAATAGAAAAAGAGGGAATCCTCCCTAACTCATTTTATGAGGCCAGCATCATTCTGATACCAAAGCTGGGCAGAGACACAACCAAAAAAGAGAATTATAGACCAATATCCTTGATGAACATTGATGCAAAAATCCTCAATAAAATACTGGCAAACCGAATCCAGCAGCACATCAAAAAGCTTATCCACCATGATCAAGTGGGCTTCATCCCTGGGATGCAAGGCTGGTTCAATATACGCAAATCAATAAATGTAATCCAGCATATAAACAGAGCCAAAGACAAAAGTCACATGATTATCTCAATAGATGCAGAAAAGGCCTTTGACAAAATTCAGCAACACTTCATGCTAAAAACTCTCAATAAATTAAGTATTGCTGGGATGTATTTCAAAATAATAAGAGCTATCTATGACAAACCCACAGCCAATATCATACTGAATGGACAAAAACTGGAAGCATTCCCTTTGAAAACTGGCACAAGGTAGGGATGGCCTCTCTCACCACTCCTATTCAACTTACTGTTGGAAGTTCTGGCCAGGGCAATTAGGCAGGAGAAGGAAATAAAGGGTATTCAATTAGGAAAAGAGGAAGTCAAATTGTCCCTGTTTGCAGACGACATGATTGTATATCTAGAAAACCCCATTGTCTCAGCCCAAAATCTCCTTAAGCTGATAAGCAACTTCAGCAAAGTCTCAGGATACAAAATCAATGTACAAAAATCAAAAGCATTCTTACACACCAACAACAGACAAACAGAGAGCCAAATCATGAGTGAACTTCCATCCACAATTGCTTCAAAGAGAATAAAATACCTAGGAATCCAACTTATAAGGGATGTGAAGGACCTCTTCAAGGAGAACTACAAACCACTGCTCAAGGAAATAAAAGAGGATACAAACAAATGAAGAACATTTCATGCTCATGGGTAGGAAGAATCAATATCGTGAAAATGGCCATACTGCCCAAGGTAATTTACAGATTCAATGCCATCCCCATCAAGCTACCAATGACTTTCTTCACAGAATTGGAAAAAACTACTTTAAAGTTCATATGGAACCAAAAAAGAGCCCGCATCGCCAAGTCAATCCTAAGCCAAAAGAACAAAGCTGGAGGCATCACACTACCTGACTTCAAACTATACTACAAGGCTACAGTAACCAAAACAGCATGGTACTGGTACCAAAACAGAGATATAGATCAATGGAACAGAACAGAGCCCTCAGAAATAGTGCCACATATCTACAACTATCTGATCTTTGACAAACCTGACAAAAACAAGCAATGTGGAAAGGATTCCCCATTTAATATATTGTGCTGGGAAAACTGGCTAGCCATATGTAGAAAGCTGAAACTGGATCCCTTCCTTACACCTTATACAAAAATCAATTCAAGATGCATTAAAGACTTAAACGTTAGACCTAAAACCATAAAAACCCTAGAAGAAAACCTAGGCATTACCATTCAGGACATAGGCATGGGCAAGGACTTCATGTCTAAAACACCAAAAGCAATGGCAACAAAAGCCAAAATTGACAAATGGGATCTATTTAAACTAAAGAGCTTCTGCACAGCAAAAGAAACTACCATCAGAGTGAGCAGGCAACCTACAAAATGGGAGAAAATTTTCACAACCTACTCATCTGACAAAGGGCTAATATCCAGAATCTACAATGAACTCAAACAAATTTACAAGAAAAAGAGAAACAACTGCATCAAAAAGTGGGCGAAGGACATGAACAGACACTTCTCAAAAGAAGACATTTATGCAGCCAAAAAACACATGAAAAAATGCTCATCATCACTGGCCATCAGAGAAATGCAAATAAAAACCACAATGAGATACCATCTCACACCAGTTAGAATGGCAATCATTAAAAAGTCAGGAAACAACAGGTGCTGGAGAGGATGTGGAGGAATAGGAACACTTTTACACGGTTGGTGGGACTGTGAACTAGTTCAACCATTGTGGAAGTCAGTGTGGCGATTCCTCAGGGATCTAGAACTAGAAATACCATTTGACCCAGCCATCCCATTACTAGGTATACACCCAAAGGACTATAAATCATGCTGCTATAAAGACACATGCACACGTATGTTTATTGCGGCATTATTCACAATAGCAAAGACTTGGAACCAACCCCAATGTCCAATAATGATAGACTGGATTAAGAAAATGTGGCACATATACACCATGGAATACTATGCAGCCATAAAAAATGATGAGTTCATGTCCTTTGTAGGGACATGGATGAAATTGGAAATCATCATTCTCAGTAAACTATCGCAAGAACAAAAAACCAAACACCGCATATTCTCACTCATAGGTGGGAATTGAACAATGAGATCACATGGACACAGGAAGGGGAACATCACACTCTGGAGACTGTTGTGGGGTGGGGGGAGGGGGGAGGGATAGCATTGGGAGATATACCTAATGCTAGATGACGAGTTAGTGGGTGCAGCGCACCAGCATGGCACATGTATACATATGTAACTAACCTGCACAATGTGCACATGTACCCTAAAACTTAAAGTATAATAAAAAAAAGAAAAAAACATAAAAAAATAAAAAGAAAAATTAAAAAGAAAAAAAAAGCCTGTTGAAGAACAATTTTAAGGAGCTGGGAAATGCATAAAGCCTGAACGGACAGGGTTCTCTTAATGTGCCGCTCAAAACAAAACAAAAATTTTTGTGAACAGAAAACCTGACCAGAAAAATACATTACAATGACCACTAGGTGGCGATGGAGTATTGCTGAAGGGACAGGAAACAATAAGCTGAGTCTGAACTGTGGCCAGAAAGATGTGAAACTAAGCAGCAAAGCAGCCCAAATATGAAATATTGATTGCAACCTATGTGGTTAGTTTATTTATCGATACCACAGAAGTAGCAGCCAAAAGGAGAGCGGACATATATTCTCTCTCTAAAGAATAAAGTTGACTTAAAAACGTTTCCCCCAGAACTTTACTGAAATAGCACTGGAACAAGCAGCGATAGTTAACCAGGGAGTCTGGAACTGCCATAGTATTCACTGAAAGAAAAGGGAAACTGAAATTAATGAAGCAGACAAACCTCTCCCCAGGTCATGATACCAGAAATGTTGATGGCTGATGTAATACCTTGGTTCTTATCTTCTTAGTTAAAAAGAATTTAAACAAGAGACACACAGCAAAAGAAGTACAGCATAATTTATTGCAAAAAAAAAGAGAATATTTTGAAAATTAATTGCAGAATAGACGGTACAGTCTGAGAAAGAGATTCCAGGGCAGCCTGCTCATAAAAGTGAGACAGCGCTAATTATTGCTGGAGAAACCCCCTTTATGGGAGTTTTGCATGATTATTCATAAGAAGGTGGAAAGAAGCGTTGCAGAAAGCATGTTCTGTACACATTTGTGCATACAATGCTTGTCTCATTAGCATCTTAAATCTCCACCCAGGAATGTGTTTTTTACTGTTAAAATAAACAAAGGGTCAGGTTGCATTCTAAAATGCAAATGCTTTTTAGAAGTAAAAGCCCCTACTGATGATAGCGGGTTTCAAATGACCCCAAGTGCTCCACATCTTAAAAGTTGCTCCCATAAAGCTGGAACACTATCTGTTCCTGAGGTATCAGGTCCCATATGTGGCTCTGAGTTACTGGCAAGCCAGGCCTGACTTGAGATGAGACCATTAATTTCAAGTGTAAAATGCCTAAATAGTCAGCAACTTCAGGTTGCATTTTGGAGCTTGTCCACTTAAATGGGTTGATGAAAATGGCTCACAAGACTCACGCTTCGGAGTCTAAGCAGATTTTGTGCAACCCAATAATTAAACTTCTGATGACTAGACTTTCACAGTTGTGAAAAAGGCGACTTTGAGAGTGATATTTCCAGGAAGCCACAGCCCTTGTCACCCCCTGCAGAGCTCTGAAGCTGCTCACAAGCAGGCCAGGTGAAAGATTTCTCTCAAAAACGGTTGAGTGCGTGCTCTGGCTAGAGAAAAAAGAGGGCTGCGGCATAATGGACAGTGTCTCGGACATCAGGAAAGTTTACACAGCAGTTTAGGAAAAAAGGCAGCGCCTAGGGCTGCAGAAGACGTAATGCTCTGGAAAGAACCCTGGGTGCAATTGAAAGAGGAACCTGAGAATGATAGGCTCAATCGGGTGAGGACAAAGCGGCCATTTGGGAAAAGGGAAGGTGTCTTCGTAGAGTAATACCCTCCTCAATGCCCAGCCCAGACCTGCCCTCCAGGTGCACCTCTGTACTCACTCTCCTTGCAAAGAGTCGGCATAGCATAAGAACTCAGCAGTGCTTTGGACTCCGGGAAGTCCACACCACTCTGACCCTTCCTCCAGGGCTATGCACCCCGGATCCTGGTACATGCTGGGAGTATAGTTCTGAAGCCTAACGACAAACAGACTGAAAGTAGTTAACGGACTACAGCTCCCAGCATATTAGGTGGGGCGCGTACCACTCTGCCCCTTCTTCCAGGTCTGTGCCTCGCCCTGGAGCCTGGCGCATGCTGGGATTGTAGTCCTGTAGCCCTTTGACAAAGGGTTGGGAGTGTTTATGAGAATACATCTTCCAGCAATCCTAGGGAGGCGCACACAGCCCAGTCTCTTCCTCCAGTGACACGCATTGTCCCTGAGACTAGTGCATGCTAAGATTGTAGTCCTGCAGCTCTTAGAGGAAAGGGCTGGAAGAGTTTATGAGCATATATCTCCCAGCAAACCTAGGGAGATGCACACAGCCCCGTTTATTTTTCCAGTGAAGCGCACTGTCCCTGACCCCGGTGAATACTGGGATGGTAGTCCTGTAGCCACGGGACCGGAAAGTCTGGGAGTCTTTATGAAACTACATCTCCCAGCAAGTAGAAGGAGGCACCCACAGTCCGGTCTCTTCCACCAGTAATGGGCACTGTCCCCGAGCTGTGTGCATGCTGGGACTGTAGTCTTGCAGCCCGGTGATGAAAGGGCTGGGAGTTTATGAGACTACATCTCCCAGCAAGCCCACCGAGGCGCGCATGGCCCTGCCTCTTCCTCCAGTGACGCGCACTTTCCCTAAGTCCGTTGCATGCTAGGATTGTAGTGTTGCAGCCCTGTAACCAAAGGACTGGGAGCGTTTATGAGACTGCATCTCCCAGCAAGACCAGCGAGAAGTGCGGAGCGTCGTCCCTTCCTCCAGAGATTAGCGCACTCTCCCTGAGCCTGGTGCATTCTGAGATTGCAGTGCTGCAGCCCTGTGACCAAAGAGCTTTGTTATAGTTATCTGTGAAGTATTCAACAAACTACTTTACTTAATTATTACTGGAAGCCAGAACCTCAGTTGCGTTCACTTTTTGGATTTTATATGAGTGAAATTGTATAATATTTATACTTTTACATCGACTTTCTTCTATGCAACATTATAATTACGGTATTAACTCATGATATTGCAGATAGCTATAGTTTGTTTATTTAAAAATTATTTTTTTTACTTTGTGGTAAAGTGTACATCAAATTAACCATTTTAGCTATTGTAAGTGTGCAGCTCAGAAAAATTAACTACATTCACATTGTTTTGCAACTATCATTCCCATTTATAGGGACCTTCTTTCAACTTGCAGAAACAAAACTCTATACCCATTAAATAAGCTCCTTGTTACTCCCCCTCAGGCTCCTAGGAACCACTCTTCTACTTGGGTTTCTAGTATTTCTTTACTCTAAGTATCTTATAATTGGAATGATTCAGTATTTGTTCTTTTATGACTGGCTCGTGTCACTTTGCACAATGTCCTTAAGGTTCATGCATGACATACCATGTGTCAGAATTTCCTTATTTTACATAGCTGAATAATATTCCACTGTATGTATAAATCACATTTTATCTATTAATTCACTGATGGTAATTCAAACAACACTTGAGTAATTCAAACAGCTTTCTGGTGATGTGAGTAATGTTGCTGTGAACCTAGGTGTACGTGTATTATTTTCTGTCTTTGCTTTCCTATCTTTTGCTACATACCTAGATGTGAAATTGCTGGATCGTATGGTGAAATTACGTGTAAATTTTTTAGTTAC
The DNA here is from genome assembly GCF_000001405.40 of Homo sapiens. Lineage (NCBI taxonomy): Eukaryota > Metazoa > Chordata > Mammalia > Primates > Hominidae > Homo > Homo sapiens. Next base: position 43,621 of record NT_167213.1, read on the forward strand.
TATGTTGTTATTTTATAGTAGCTGTAGCATTTTACATTTCCACCAACAGTGTACAAGGGTTCTAATTGCTCCACATCCTCACCAACACTTGTGATTTTCTGTTTTGTTTTCTTTCTTTTGGTAGTAGCTATGCTGATGGGTATTAAGTGATATGTCATTTGGGGTTAGATTTGCATTTCACTAATGATGAGTTTTGTTGAGCATCTTTTCATGTGCTTATTAGCCACTTTACATAATTTTTAGAGAAATGTCTGCTTAGGATTTTTGCCAATATTTTAAACAGGTAGCTTGTGTTATTGTTGCTGAATTGTTCTTTGCGTATTCTGGATAGATTCTGATTCATCTATTTTTCTTTTGTTTCATGTGTTTTGGTTGTCCTGTTTAAAAAAAAAAAAACACTGCCAAATCCAGTGTATGACATGTTTCCCCTATATTTTGTTCTAAGAATTTTGTAGTTTTAGTTCTTACATTTAGGTATTTGATCCAGTTAGTTAATTTTTTCTTATGGTATAAGTGAAGGGCCCAGGTTCATTCTTTTACTTATGGGTACCCAATTTCGCCAGCACCGTTCTGCCTCTGACTGTCGGTCCTGTGTGGGTTTACTTGGAGGTGCTTTGCCTTGGAGAAAGGAGGCGGGTGGACAGTCGGGGGGCAATACAGCCCTGATAACACCTTGACTTAAGCCCAGTAAGACACGTGAGCAACAGGCCCCCTTGCAGAGGGCAAAGCAAAGTGGAATCCGAAACCACACTTCAGTCGGCCTAAGTGTGACTCCTGTGAGGACGGGACTATCCGCCTCGCGCTCCTTTGCAGGCTCAACGTGGGGCTATCTCATCTGTGAACCATGTGGATGAAAAATGGACAACCACCCGAGTCTCGGCTCATTGCTCTCTGGGCGATTCTCTCATTCCCTGGGAGACGAAATTCGTCTGAATCGCTCCCGGATGAAGTAATCCAGGCTGGTGATCTGGAGGGCCGGTGAGCGCCCCGCAGGCCAACGCGGCTGTGGGCCGACCACTTAGACCGCACTGGGCACCCAACATTTTTCCTTAGTGCGAGTTCCTGCTGGTCCTGGAGGCAGAAGACCGCTTTTCTCTCTGCCTTCCTTTCTCTGTCCCTTCCTTCCTCCCTCCTTCCCTCTCTTCCTCCTTTTATCCCTCCATCCCTTCCAAGGTCCCTCCGTCCATCCGTTCTTTCCTCCCTCCATCGCTCCCTCCCTCTCTGTCTCGGTTCGTCTCCTGCTCTCTGCCTGAGTTCCCTCCCGCGTAGAAAGGGCAGCACCCCGGTTTGCGCGGGGACTCTGGTCTGCATTTAGCTGTCAGGCGCTCCACGGTGATGGCGAGGAAGCTGGCGGGGCACGGGTAGGCGAGTGACGGTGGCGGGGGGAGGCAGAGGCGGCGAGACGGGGAAAGAAGAGCATGCCTGGCGGCTGCCCGCGTCAGTGTTTCCCGAGATGGGGGTCTCCGCCCACTGTACTGAAGAACGCGGGTGGGTGGGGGGAAAAGGGATGAGAGCTCCGCCTGGACTAGTTAGAAAACCTAGGCTGCTGCCTGCAAACCCGCGCATGAGCAGTAGACAGTCTACCTCCCGGTACCTGGACGGGCTCTGGGATCCCCGGGATGCTCGGGAAAGAATGACGGCCCTCCACTGTGTGGGGTCTCTCACGGGACCTGGAACTCAGAGATCCTAGGCAGGTCAGCTGGAAGGGAAGACACGCCTCTCCATACCGAGTCAGAGGTTCACCACGAAAGAGAGGCCGCCGCCCCAACCCCGCGCCTAAAGCTCCTCCAGCAGAGCCCTGTGTTCTTCCTGGCTGAGGAGTGGTTCCAGCGGAGCGGGCTCTTCCACGTCCTTCAGCTCCCCCAGTGGAGCCGGATCTAGGAAAGGTTGTGCCTTTTGCTGAAACTCTAGGGTCGACAGGAGCTCATCTAATAGGCTGGGAGTGAGTGCAGACCAGCGTCTTGGCTCCTGGAGTGGTTGAGAGGCGCCTGAATGGCTTGCATCTGTGCTTGACGCGGAGGCCTCCGGGGTCACGAGCTTCGGAGGTGGAGGTGCCCAGTCTTTGGTTTCCCACGCAGCCCTGGCGACCTGGGGCTCCAGTCCCACCGCAGACTCTGGTGGGACGTGGGTGGCGCAAGCACATCTTGGCCCTGCGACTCAGCTTGAGGGGGCCCAAGCTGTCCCACTGAGCAAGCGCCCAGCAGGCCGCCGTGCTGTGGGTCCTGGTCCTCCTGGCATTTGTTGGGGTGCGGAGGCCACCGAGGAGTCTGAGGGTGGGACAACCCCACTGCCGGAGGAGCCAGGGCAGCGAACACAAAATCCTCGCATGCCGGGGCAGTTTGGGAGATTCCTTCTGCCTGTGCAGCCTGGCTGGGCTGGCACGGCTGGCTGGGGCAGGGCCTGGCTCGGTCAGGGCCAGGCTGGGCCAGGCCTTGCTGCCTGGCTCACGAAAGCCCCCTGTGGGAGAGCCCCAGGCGCGCAGGCTGTGTGGGGTGTGGGAAGCCCCGTTCCCCACGCCTGGGTGTGGGTGAAGTCTAGTGAGGAGGGAGGAGTGTGACATCCCCCGGGGGTGTTAATTAGTAACCACAGCGGCCTCAAAGAGCTCAAATGAAAGGAAGAAATGCACGTCTCTTAGTTTAAGTCAAGAGCTGGAAATGATTAAGCTTAGTGAAGACGTAAAATTTTCATCACTAGAGAGACGTCAACGCTTGGCTTCAAAACTTCAAAGGATGGGCTGACTCTCTTTGAGGACCACTGCAATTGGTGACTTTAAGTTACAGCCAATGCTTATTGACCACTCTGAAAATCTCAGGGCCCTTAAGAATTATTCAAATCTATTCTTTCTGTGGCCTAGAAATGGAACATCACAGTCTGAGTGACAACACATCTGTTAACAGCATGGTTTACTGAATATTTTAATCCCACTATTGAGACCTACTGCTCAGAAGAAAAAAAAAAAACGATTCCTTTAAAGAGATTGCTGCTTGGCCAGGTGCAGTGGCTCACACCTGTAATCCCTGCACTTTGGGAGGCCAAGGTGGGTGGATCACGAGGCCAGGAATTTGAGATCAGCCTGGCCAATATGGTGAAACCCTGTCTCTACTAAAAATACAAAAAAATTAGCCGGGCATGGTGGCAGTACCTGTAATTTCAGCTACTTGGGAGGCTGAGGCAGAAGAATGGCTTGAACCCTGGAGGCAGAGGTTGCAGTGAGCCGAGATCATGTCACCACCCTACAGCCTGGGCAACAAGAGCAAAACTACGTAAAGGAAAAAAAAGAAAAAAGGAAAAAAGATTGCTGCTTATTGACAATTCACCTAGCTACCCAGAAGCTTAGATGGAGATGTACTTGGAAATTAATGTTATTTTCATGGCTGCTAATACAATATCCATCCTTTAGCCTGTGGATCAAGGAGTGGTTTTGACTTTCAAGTGTTTTTATTAATTAATAATTGCATTTTGTAAAGGTATAGCTGTCATAGATAGTGATTTCTTTGATGAATCTGGATAAAAAACTGAATTGAAAACCTTTTGGAAAGATTCACCATTAATCCTTTCATGATATTTTAACCTCCCGTGAATCACAAATGTCCTTAATAACAACCCTTAAATTCCATTAAGGACATTTGTGATTGATGGGGGGAGGTTGAAATATCAACATTAACAGGAGTTTGGAAGAAGTTGATTCCAGGCCTCATGGATGACTTTGAGGGCTTGGGATGTCAGTGGAGGAAGTCCCTACAGATGTGGTAGAAATCGCAATACAACCAGAATTAGAATTAGGGCCTTAAGATGAGATTAAATTGCTCTGAACTCATGATGAAACTCGAACAAATGGGGAGTTGCTTCTTATGGACGAGCAAAGAAAATATTTTCTTGAGGTGGAATCTACTCCAGGCGGAGATGCTATGAACATTGTTGAAATAACAACAAAGGATTTAGAATATTCCATAAACCTAGTTGATAAAGCAGCAGCAGGGTTTGAGAGGGTTTATTCCAATTTTGAAGGAAGTTCTACTGTGGATAAAATGTTATCAAACAACATCACATGCTACAGGGAAATCTTTTGTGAGAGGAACAAACTTCGTTGTTTTAAGAAATTGACACAGGCATCCAACCTTCAGCAGCCCCCATTCTGATCAGTCAGCAGCCATCAATATAGAGGCAAGACCCTCACCAGCAAAAAGATTATGACTTGGTAAGGCTCAGATATTCATTAGTATCTTTCAGCAATGAGGAATTTTAAGTTAAAGTATGTACATAGATTTTTAGACTTAATGCGGTTACTAATTAATTAACTAATTGATAATTAATTATTAAATACTCATTAGACTACAACATAGTTTAAGCATAACTTTTATAAACACTGGGAGACAAAATGTTTATGTGACTAACTTGATTGTAACATTTGCCTTATTGCGGTTGTCTGGAACCAAACCCACACTATCTCTGAGTATGCTTGTAGGTTTTTGTTTGTTCCTTGTTTTGAGATGGGGTTTCGCTCTGTCGCCCAGGACAGAGTGCAGTGACATGATCATAGCTCACTGCAGCCTCTAACTGCTGGGTCAAGTGATTTTTCTACCACAGCCTCCTGAGTAGCTGGGACAACCGGCATGCAACACTATGCCTGGTTATTTTTATTTATTTATTTATTTATTTATTTTTGAGATGGAGTCTCGCTCTTTCGCCCAGGCCAGAGTGCAGTGGCGTGGTCTTGGCTCACTGCAAGCTCCGCCTCCCGGGTTCATGCCATTCTCCTGCCTCAGCCTCCCGAGTAGATGGGACTACAGGGGTCCACCACAAGGCCCGGCTAATTTTTTTGTATTTTTAGTAGAGATGGGGTTTCACCATGTTAGCCAGGATGGTCTCAATCTCCTGACTTCGTGATCTGCCTGCCTCGGCCTCCCAAAGTGCTGGAATTACAGGTGTTAGCCACCGCGCCCAGCCAGCTATTTTTTTTAATACTTTTTTTTTGCAGAGACGGGGTCTCACTATGTTGCCAAGCTGGTCTTGAACTCCGGGGCTGAAAGCAATCCAGCCACTTCAGCTTCCCAAAGTGAAGCCATTACTGGCTTGAGCCACTGCACCCAGCTTGTCTGTAGTTTTTAAAACAAAAACGGCCGGGCGTGGTGGCTCACGCCTGTAATCCCAGCACTTTGGGAGGCCGAGGCAGGTGGATCACGAGGTCAGGAGTTCGAGAGCAGCCTGGCCAAGATGGTGAACCTGGTCTCTACTAAAATTAAAAAATCTAGCCGGGCGTGGTGGCGGGCACCTCTAGTCCCAGCTACTCGGGAGGCTGAGGCAGGAGAATCATTTGAACCCGGGAGGCAGAGGTTGCAGTGAGCCGAGATCATGCCACTGCACTCCAGCCTGGTCACAGAGCAGGACTCCGTCAAAAAAGAATAATTTAAAAGATTAAAAATTAAGATAGATTTTTACAAATATATATATCTATCATTATAGTGTCATACAGAATGGTTTTACTGCCGTGAAGATTCTCTGTGCTCTGTGTATCCATCTCTTCCTTCTCCTTGGTCCATGGCAGCCACTGATCTTTCTACTGTTCTCATGGTTTCACCATTTCCAGAATGTCATATAATTGGAATCGAACAGTACATAGACTTTTCGGATTGGCTTCTTCTGTTAGTAATATGCTTTTAAGTTTCCTCCATGTATTTTTTTCTGGCTTGATAGATCATCTCTTGCTAGCAGTGAATAATATCCCATTCACATTATACTTTTTTCAAGACTCACAATGTACAGAGTGAAGAGTAAACGTGAATGTGCACTGTAAGCTTTGAGTGATAATGAAGGGTCAAGGTAGGTTTCTGGTTGTCACAGGTGTGCTCCTGTGAGGCAGGAAGCTGTAGTGGGGAGGCTGTGTGCGGGGAAAGGGACATATGGGAAGCCTGTCCTCTCTGCTCCGTTTAGTTGTGAACCTGCACTTCTCTAAAAAATAAAATTAGTTAAAATTGAAAGCCAAAAATTAGAGAAATTAAAACATTACAATGTGTCATATAGTTTTCAAATCACAAGATAGAAAAAAACATAATAACAGAAACTATAGAAAACAAGGATAGAAATAAAACGTCAGTGATACAAGGCAGAAGACAGAAACGTGCAGCCAAACATATTATTTTAATGATTATTTATATTCATTTATACTAATTTATATTGATGTAACATATTAATTTTGACTAAATGGCATTAAAGGAGGTTTGAGTAATTTGTGAGTCACATTCTGGATGAGATGACTCAATAATATTAACTCTTTACTTTGCTGTAAATCATTTAAAAATATGCTCAAATTCCAATAAAAATTCCAAGAAAAATGTTTTTGAACAAGAAAATGTGATTTTAAATTCGTCTGTTGAGCACACACATGAGAGCCAATATTATAAAATTTACTATAAGATATTAAAATTATTACTATTCAAAGTAAACAAATTTGAAATGGCACAAAAATAAACACATTAATGAAAGAGAACTAAAAGCACAGAAATTGAGTGTAATTTTATCTAGTAACAGGGTAACGTTTTAAATTCACAAAACAAGAGCGATTGTTCCATTTATGGTATTAAAATACTGGGTAATGATTTGAGAATATAAAATGATAGAATTGAATCATGGTCCCACACCTTGCATAAAAGTTAATTCCAGTATTAAATGTTAAAAAAGAGAGAGAGAAAAAAAAAAATTAGATGTATGTGTGTTTTACGTCCTTGAGAATGAATGTCTTCTAAAATCAAAATTTCAAACAGAAACCTTATAAAAAGGAATAAACCTAACGTACCTAAAATGTAAATTCTTACACATTTCAACACCAGGTAAATAGCACAAAACAAACTGGGAAAATTTTTACAACAATTATGTTACATGAAAATTAAAATCCTTATGACATGTACAATGTATAAAACAGTATGATTACTGCTATTATTAATAGTATTATGATTACCTGGTCTTCCCACACACCAGTCCTCTTCTGGTGCCCTGTGGTGAAACAGAGCCCTCCCTCTCTGGCCACAGTGAGGGATCCAGCAGGAACCCTGCCTAAACCCACAGAGGGTGTGAGCCAAGCCAGGACATCACATACCCTCCTGCGAAATGACGCAGACACCCACTCAAGACAGAAATGTGGTCCCTCTCTGGGAAAGTCGCATAACAATTATTGCAGAAACTTTTTTCTTTTGTTCCCAGACACATGGAGAAAGCTGGTCTGGAAGACTGATGTCCACATGCTCAGAGAAGCAGTCATTCATAGCACACACACTGCACACACCACACCGCACACACCACACCATGTGCACACGCACACACACCCCACACACAGACACCACACAAACAGCAGACACACCATGTGCACACGCACACACACCCCACAGACACCACACACTGCACACACACCATGTGCACATGCACACACACCCCACAGAAACCAAACAGCACACACACCATGTGCACATGCACACACACCCCCCACACCCACTGCACACACCCCACACACACCACACCCACTGCACACACAGCATGTGCACATGCACACACCCCATACAGACACCACACACTGCATACACCACACCATGTGCACACACACACCAGACACCACACACACTACACACACACACACAGAGCACACACATCACATACATACGCCACACACACTGTGCACACACACACCACACACGCCACACACATACTCCACACACACATTCTACGCACACATCAAACACTACACACACTGCACACACAGCACCATACACACAAAAAACACACACATCACATACACCACACACACTGCACACACACATATCACAAGCACACCATACCACACATAGTACACATACACACCACACACATACACCACAAACACAGCACATACACACACCATACACAACCCACAGTATTCACACGACACCTCCAGTACACACCACACACACATATACGTACCCCATGCACTTACTACACACACAGACCACACACACACACACCATACATATACATCACACACATACATCTGCGCACACCTCACAGAGTACATACAATCCTCACTTTTAGAACTTAATTCAGCTTTTAAGGAACCTGGATAGTATAGTATTTTATTGGCGTTTGAATGAGCTAAGAAAATGCATATAAATACACACGCATAACTATGATTGCAGAAGAAGCACTTTCGAAATCACAACATTAGATTAAACCGTGTAAGTTTTTTATTGTTTTTGAAAAATCAAGTCTTTATCATTTTACTAGGAACTATTTACAGAATAAACTAATGAGATTCTTCCTGAGGTAAAAATACTTTTTGGAAAAACTTCTCCTTGATGAAATTTCACTTAAAACATCACTTCCATCGTGAAGTATTTCTTTAAGATATTTTTGGTCCCTTCCTTTTATGTGGAATCGTCAATTCAAATTTTAAAGGAGACTTTGAGATGTTTTTCATCTATTATTTTAAAAATGTTGAAGGGGTTTTTAATTCTGCCTTCAACAGAGATGGACACACCTCTGATTATGATGTAAAACTGAATAAGTTACTCTGACAGGCTTTCTTTTATGCAGCGCAGCTACCATCATTATTAATAAGGATTGAGTTCTTTTACTCCATGCACAATCTGTATTCCCTGCTTTACAAAGAATAGAAATCTAATTCTCACTATGAAGGCAGATAAAAGTAATCACTTCAACCTACAGATGACTGAATCATTTACCAACGCACTCAGACTTTAAATAGCATTTATCCAATGTGTCTACATTTCTACACACATTCATATGAAGAACATGTAGTTTAAATCATTGCACAATTTATGCTTTTAATGAGTTGTGATGGTCATTAATATTTTTATTACATTTCCCCAAAGGTGGGCTACTTACTGTTATTATTTTCAGTTAGAAATATAGATGTATTTTCTATTTTTGATGACTTTAAACATAATCCTTGGAATATAATATCTGTGTGTAATATCTGTGGAAATCATGAAAATAATATTCAAATAGTATGCATTTTTTCCAGAATGAAAATTTCCTCTACAATAACATTCATCTTTTTTTTCCTGATGGGCATATAAAAGTCAACATTTGTAACATTGCTGGACATTATTTACATTAAACATGTATCAGCTTCAGGTGTTGCAGAAACTGGGCAAGAGGCCACAAGGTACACAATACACACACACGCACAAAACTTGTATTATTATACTTACCTAAGTGTCTAAAGAGGTGGATAAATATATTAGATTACTCTAGAGCAATGATTTTTGTGGGGCCTATTGGAAAATATGACTGTAGTTTGAGTGAGATTCCTCTAAGAGATTCAACTTGGCCACTATTTATTGAGTATTCAATTTTAAAAATACTAACAAAGGCTTATGGGATGAAAATTTCCATCTAGATCTATGGGAAATGTGTTACTAGATGCTGTAGTAAAAAGACTAGTGTGGTAATTGTAAAATATATCTAACATCTAAACCTTTGTTTGTTTGTTTTTTACCTGAAATCCTTATGGGGGTGATTGTGTATATCAATTTGAATCTTCCCATCAACAAGATACATAAATAAATAGCCAGCCTACCTCTATAAGTTAATAATTTAGTTCACCTGCTCTATATTTTGAGGGCAGTTCTTCTCTTCCTTTGACATGCACAAGATTCACCAGGGGATCTTATTAAAATGCAAACTCATAGACCACGCTTTGACTAGCTAAGATAAGGGGTCAGAGCATCGAAATGAGTGTGTAGGTGACTGTGCTAAGATCCTCCTGCTCATTTGGGCACTGGCTCATCATACAAACAAAGCTTAGGACCTCTAGTCCTTGCTGGAAAAGAAACACACATACATAGGATGTGACTGTGCATATGGAATATCTGTTGTGTTCTGGACATTGTGCTAGACAACAGAGATAAGAAGTCAAATAATCTCTTCTCTTTATCTGAAAGGAGCTTCATACACAGTGGCTTCTGGATGTCTCTGAAACCGGGTTCACTTTCAGATTTGATTATTATATTTATGATTTGACATTGGCATTGAACCCCATGAGGTGATAAATTTTTCCAGAACCTGCCAGAACAACTGGCTTTGCTCTCAGCATCAGGAAGCCACTGGCACATAAATAATTCATTTATGTTTGTATTTCACCAGACAGGAACAACTTGAGCTACTTTTCTAGCCACATTCGTTTATAGCTGTTTTTGTTTTTTGTTTGTTTGTTTGTTTTTTTAAGACAGGGTCTCACTCTATCACCTAGGCTGGAATGCAGTGGTGTGATCAGAGCTCACTGCAGCCTCACCTTCCAGGCTCAAGCAATCCTCTCACCTCAGCCTCCTGAGAAGCTGGAACCACAGGCTTATACCACCATACCCAGCTAATTCAATTTTTTTTTTTTTTTTAGAGACAGGGTTTTTCCATGTTTCCTAAACTTGTCTCCCACTCCTGAGCTCGAGCAATCTGCCTGCCCCAACCTCCTAAAGTGTAGAGCTGTGTTTTTAGTCTTTTTTTGAGCTGTTTTACAATCCAGTGTTGAATTGATAAGTTTGGATTCACTCTGATATTTGCAGATTTAACATCCTACTTCACAAGATGTTCATAGCCTTGAACCATTACAGCCGCTGCCTCATCCATCTCTGCTCATATCCTTGATCCAATACAACAGCCACCTCTTCCATCTATGCTCATAGCCTAAACTAATAGAAGCCAGAGGGAAGAAATGGAAGCCAACGTGAGTCCAGAACACACGTTTTATAAGAGCATAAGAAATTTAAAAATAGCAAAGTATAAAATGAAGTTTGTAATAGATGTGCATGGCTAAAATTTATTCTTATATTAACCAATATATTCTATAAATTGGGAGAAAATATTAAACACATGAAAAGTAAGGAACTTTCATCATTAATATATAATTAATATGACAAGAATGTGGTTTATGTTTTTATCTTTACAAGATTAAGGAAAATTTGGTGGAAGGAAGAAGAATGTATAATCATGGGGAGCGTGTATGATACTGGAGGGAGCCTTTTGACAACGGGGAAATGGCATCATGAGATATACTATGGTCATAGCTATGTAGGAACACAACTACCTGTGGTCTCCCCTGTCAAATCCACTGGGCAGTGTTCAATTACCAACATTGAGGTAGAGCTCACTCTCCCAGGTCAGAAGAGAAAATATATACTGCAGTCAGAATCCACTGAGTAGGAAGCTCCTTTCAGATAGAGGCAAGGGATATTTGACTTTTTATCTCTAGTGTCTAGTACAATGTCCAGAACACAACAGACTTTCCATATGCACAGTCACATCCTATGTGTCTGTATTTCTTTTCCAGCAGGGACTGGAAGTCCTAAGTTTTGTTAATATGGTGAGCCAGTGCCCACATGAACAGTAGCATCTTAGCACTGTCACCAGGACATCAATTTAAATGCTCTTATCTTAGTTAGTCAAAGTGTGGTCTGTGAGTTTGCATTTTAATAAGATCCCCGGGTGAATCTTGTGCATGTTACAGAGGAAGCACTGTCCTACATCACATGTGACAGGCTCTCATAGTCACCATCATCACGGGAATCTTGTGCATGTTACAGAGAAGTGCTGTCCTACGTCATATGTAACAGGCTCTCATAGTCACCATCATCACAGGAATCTTGCGCCTGTTACAGGGAAGCACTGTCCTACATCGTATGTGACAGGCTCTCATAGTCACCATCATCAAGGGAATCTTGCACACGTTACAGAGAAGCAGTGTCCTACATCGTATGTGACAGGCTCTCATAGAAACCACCACCCTGGGAATCTGCATTTAGAGCATTTAATTATATGGGCTCTGAAATCAGATGACTTAGGTTTAGACTTCCTTCTACTTCTTACTAAGCAGAGAACTCTGGGGTGAAAACTTTACGACGCTGTTTTATCACGTCCAAATTGGAGGCACGGGGAGATTATAACATTGTGCATAGAATATTGTTTTACATATAAAATAAAATAGTACATAGGAAGCTTCTGCCATGCACTAATTGCACAATAAATATTAGTTAACAGTAACTCATTTAGTCCTAAGAAGAGGTCTATAAATTTTTACACTATAATTTTTTGTGACTACCCAAGTTTCTATAATTAATGTAGATTTAAAATCAAGGAATGTTTTTACGTGTAGTTGGCAACCAATATGACATGCCAAAATTATATGTAAGTATTTTATTTTTCGTGGGGATATAAGAAATTTGCCATCAAAAGAGGGAAAATAATCTATGTTTGCAGACTCCAGAAAGCTGTCACTCACCTGAGTTTGCAATTTCTGTCTGGGGGAAAAGAAGAGAAAGTTGACTGTGAAAATAAGCATTACCATAGAGTCTTCTCTATGACAACATCAAAAATGAAAGCTGAGTCTCGTCTTCCTAACAATCTGCAAAGACAAGTGAAACACAACCTACTGAGCATCAAGTTAAAGAAGGAGTGAATTTGAGTGGCACAGGAGGAAATCATGTCTTTGCCACTAGGGAAATAAATATGACCCCTGTTCCTCTGCCCTCCTCCGAGGCTAAAGATGGGTTAAATATCAGTGCCTGACCTCAGATAATGGAATGAGCAAAAAAGCTATAAAATGCATGCACTACATAATTAAGAGGGTGGGAAGGGATTTTTTAAAAAAGGCAATTCCTAGTTGGGTTCCTTCCTGTTCACGTCATTGGTGAAGAAATTAGTCTTGCCCTAGAATTCTAGGGATGGCTGCAGACACAACAAACACTGAGTAGACGAAATTCACCGTAACTTATTCATCGCGCATACTCAGCCCAACAGGGGATGACACTGCATCTGTGCAGGTCTACCCGGGGGTTCACTCTGGAGCACAGGGTGCGGGAGGCAGGCTTGGTAGAAATCAGAGGGTGGGGTAACCCCTTGTCCCTTGAGGGATGTGCTTGACTAATTCAAAGAGTTTAGCAGTCTGTTGGGGGCATGAAAGCCATTAGGCTGAGGACCTGGTGGGATGCAGCATGAAATTTTAGGTGTCACAGTACAATTGACCCTGATGCTTTAACATCAGACATTTATTTTAATGATGACTAATATTTTGAGAGGCTGAGAGAAGGCTGTTGAGACATTGTAATAAATGCTTAGGGGCATGAGACATTAGGAAGGCCACAATTATGAGTAATGAAATGTGGAGGCTGATGAGAAGCTACTGCTCCCATTTGTTTAGCAGGAGGCAGGAAAAGTGATCTGGGGTCTCTGGCAGCACAAGCGTGTGGTAAATATTTGGGTGACGTCATGCATCCCCCATGCATGGGTTTTCATGTCTCCAGTGAGCTGTTGGGCAAGTCTGATATTACTGATCCACACGCAGCAGGCAGCTTCCTGTATGGAGCTACCTCCACCCCTTGGACAGTTCAGGACTGAAAGATTGTCAAAAATGTGAACTCCTTGATGTCCAGTAAAGGCAACTGAGGGAACTGTCTAGCATTGGTGTAAAAAGTGCACTTTCCTAAGGAGCATGAACTTAGAGTTATCAAAGCCTGTGGCAATAGTGGAATCCAGCAGGGCATCCACTCGCTGCTTTGTACCTTAAATAGGAATTCTTTGAGGAGCTCAGTGTATCTCTCAACTGAAGCAGCTTCCTGCAGCCTACAGGAGCAGTGGAAGCTCTGCTGGACACCTTCTTCACAAGCCCAGCACTGTGTTTTCTGATGAAATGTTGCTTTGGTGACCATCAGTAGTGTCTGGAACTCTGCAAGGGATAAGGAGTGTCCCTGTGAGATCTGTACCGTGTCCTTAGTTAAAATAAAGGCATCTGTTACCTTGATTGGTATTCTGAGTATCCATGAGACAAGAAGTGTATTTAATTCAATGGGGAGGGAAGCTGGACAATTCTTGGCAATTGTCAAAAAGTTTGTAAAAAGGTACAAGTGGGGTTAATTGTTGGCCCAGCATCAGTGCTATGATGACCACCTCAAGTTTGGCCAGTTGTGCTGAGGCTTGTGTGTCATCCTTTATCAGGGACATCCTAGCTAAGGGAGGGAAAGCAGCAGAATCCCACTGAGCTCCATCACATCTGATCATGGCATCCATTCAGAAGGCTGACAAACTTCACTGCTGGTCACTCAGTCGATCCCAAGGGCCTCGCAGAGGGGTGACATCTGGCACCACAGTCTGAGGATGAAGGAGGCCAGTGTCAGCACTGTAGCCTAAGGATGAAGGAGGCCAGTGCTTCCTGCAGATGAGAATTGCATCGTGTAAAGATTTGACTCCATTCGGAGGCAAGGAGGTCACTGCAGCTGTGCCAAAGCTGTGGGGTGCTGCTTCCCAAGGCCTGATGGCCAGATGGGCATGAAGGCTCATGGACATGGATGCAGAGCCCTCTGTTTCAAGGGTCCAGTATGTGGCCAGCAATCACTGCCCTGATGCTGTACAGCACAGGGTCAAAAGAGGCAGGTTTGTTTTTTACATCAGAAGCCCATGGATGACTAATGGCCACCACATGCAAACCAGATACTTCGGAGGCATGGGAAGAGGTTGCTAAAGCATCTACAGTGTGTTCTCTGATGGAATTCATAGGAGCGCCTGTTAATTTAAATTCGGATGGATTCCAGACTTGTTGGAGGAGGCTTCATTCAAGGTGGGTCAGCTTTCAAGTGACAGCATCAGCGAGATTAAGTAAAATTTGTAAGTAAGAAATGTGTAGTCACCTGAACCCCAAGTAAAGAATTAAAGGGCTGGGCACATGGACTCACACCTGTAATCCCAGAACTTTGGGAGGCCGAGGCCAGAGGATCTCTTGAGCCCAGGAGTTCGAGACCAGCCCGGGTAACATAGCGAGAGCTTTTCTCTACAAAAAAATAAACAAAATTAGCTGAGTGTCATGGCACACACCTGTAGTCCTAGCTACTTGGAAAGCTGAAATGGGAGAATTGCTTGAGGTTGGGAGGTCAAGGCTGCAGTGAGCTGAGATCATGCCACTTCATACCAGCCTGTGTGACAGAGCAAGACTATGTCTCCAAAAAACAAAACACAAATTAAAGAATGTTGGGCTTGTATTAACGTTGTGGATGCTGAGAGGATGAATAACTATTTCTTGAAACTGTCAGGAATAGAGCAGCCCCAAGTTTACCAAGGAATTTTCAGGAATTGAAGCAAAGTGGCAGGGCCTTGCACTACTGTGTTGGGGAAAGGTCCATTCCCTTTGTATAAGGCTCTTTGTGTCTGTGTATCTTCAGTGTGTAAAATGAATTTTCTCTGAGAATGATGTCATCAGTATAATGTCACACCTGTACTCCTGTAGAAAGGTGGCTGCAGTGAGATATTGTCTGTGAAGATTGCATGCAATGACGAGGCTGCCAAGGCACTCCGTGTGTTACCTGGTCCCTTCAGAGATGAAGGCAGGCTATGACTGCGACTCTGTTAAAATAGGCCCAAAAAGATCATGTTAGCTAAATATATAACAACAAAATATTTCCAGTTGCATGAATATATATAGGTTTATTATAAGGAATTGGCTCATGTAGTTATGGAGGCTCACAAGTCCCATGACCTGCAGTCAGCAAGCTGGAGACCCAGGACTGCCAATGGTGGAGTTCCAGTCCAAGCCTAAAGTCCTGAGAACCAGGAAAGCTGATGGCATAAGTTACAGTCCACGTCTGACTTCAAAGGCGAGAGAAGATCTATGTCTCAGCTCTGAAAGCATCAAAGAGAGTGAATTCTCTCTTCCTCTACCCTTGTGTTTTATTTGGGATTTAATGGATTGGATGAGGCCCGCTCACACTGGGAAGGGCAACTACTTTACTAATTCTACATATTCAAATGTTCATCTCATCAAGGAACACCCTCACAGACACATCCAGAGTGTTTAACCAAATATCTAGGCAACCCAACTTGGCAAATAAAATTAACCATCATAAGGTGAAAGATGTATACGATCTGAAGAGAAACCAGGGATGCAGGACGGTTAAACATCTGCAAGTCAATAAATGTGATAGGCCATATAAACAGAATTAAAAACAAAAATCATGTGATCATCTCAATACATGCAGAAAAAGGATTTGACAAAATCCAGCATCCCTTTATGATTAAAACCCTCAGCAAAATCAACATCGAAGGGACAAACCTTAAGGTAATAAAAGCTATATATGACAAACACAGCCAACATTACACTGAATGGGGAAAAGTTGAAAGCATTCCCCCTGAGAATTGGAACAAGACAATGATGCCCACTTTCACCACTTCTATTCAACACAGTACTAGAAGTCCTCGCCAGAGTAATCAGATAAGAGAAATAAAGGGCATCCAAATCGGTAAAGAGGAAGTTGAACTGTCACTCTTTGCTGATGACATGATCGTAAACCTAGAAAGCCCTAAAGACTCATCCCAAAAGCTACCAGAACTGGTAAATGAATTCAGCAAAGTTTCAGGATACAAAATTAAGGTACACAAGTCAGTGGCTCTGCTATACTGTAACAGTGAACAAGCTGAGAATCAAATAAAAAACTCACCACCTTTTACAATAGCTGCAATAAAAACCTGAGGAATATTATGATTCCTATAATTATAATAGTATATTCCTATAATTGTCAATTGCATGCAATCTTTGCAGACAAAATCTTAATTATATCCGGAATACTTAACCAAAGAGACAAAAGACCTCTACAAGGAAAACTACAAAACACTGCTGAGAGAAATCATAGATACAAACAAATGGAAACATATCCCATGCTCACGGATGGGTAAAATCAATATTGTGAAAATACCATACTGCCAAAAGCTATCTACAAACTCAATGCAATCCCCATTAAAGTACTAACATCAGTCTTCACAGAACTACAAAAATTCACATGGAACTAAAAAAGACATAGAAGGGACATACCTTAAGGTAATAAAAGCCTAGAACCAAAAAAGAATCTGTATAGCCAAAACAAGACTAAGCAAAAAGAACAAATCTAGAAGCCGACTTCAAACTATATTAGAAGGCCATAGTCCCCAAAACAGCATGGTACTGGTATAAAAATAGCCATATAGACCAATGGGACATAATAGAGAACCCAGAAATAAAGCCAAATACTTACAGTCATCTAATCTTCAACAAAGCAAACAAAAACATAAAGCAGAGAAAGAATACCCTATTCAACAAATGGTGCTGGGATAAATGGCAAGCCGCACATAGAATAATGAAAGTGGATGTTCATTTCTCACCCTTTTAAAAATCAACTCAAGATGGATCAAGGACTTAAATCTAATACCTGAAACTATAAAAATTCTAGAAGACGCCATTGGAAAAACCCTTCTAGACATTGGCTTAGGCAAAGACTTCATGACCAATAACCCAAAAAGCAAATGCAACTAAAACAAAGATAAATAGATGAGACTTAATTAAACTAAAAGGTTTCTGCACAGCAAAAGAAATAATCAGCAGAGTAAACAGACAACCTAAAGAGTGGGAGAAAATCTTTGCAAACTGTACTTCTGATTAAAGGACTAATAGCCAGAATCTGCAAGGAACTCAAATAAACCATCAAGAAAAAAAAATCCCATCAAAAAGTGGGCTAAGGACATGAACAGACAATTCTCAAAAGAAGATATACAACTGGCCAACAAACACATGAAAAAATGCTCAACATAACTAATTATCAGGGAAATGCAAATCAAAACCACAATACAATATGATAACCCCTTCACTCCTGCAAGAATGGTCATAATCAAAAAATCAAAAACTAATAGATGTTGGCATGGTTGTGGTAAAAAGGGAACACTTTTACACTTTTTGGAGGGAATGCAAGCTAGTACAACAGCTATGGAAAAGAGTGAGGAGATTTCCAAAGAACTAAAAGCAGATCTATCATTTGATCCAGTAATTCCACTCCTGGGTATCTACTCAGAGGAAAATAAGTCATTATATGAAAAAGATACTTGCACACGCATGTTTATAGCAGCACAATATGCAATTGCAAGAATTTGAAACCAGCCTAAATGCCCATCAATCAGTAAGTGGATAAAGAAAGTGTGTTATAAATATTTACCATGGAATACTACTCAGCCATAAGATGGAATGAAGTAATGCATTCACAGCAACCTGGATGAAACTGGACACCATTATTCTAAGTGAAGTAACTTTGGAATGGA
This sequence comes from Homo sapiens, assembly GCF_000001405.40. Taxonomy (NCBI): domain Eukaryota; kingdom Metazoa; phylum Chordata; class Mammalia; order Primates; family Hominidae; genus Homo; species Homo sapiens. Next base: position 61,705 of record NT_167213.1, read on the forward strand.
AAACCAAACCTTGTATGTTCTCATTCATAAATGGGAGCTAAGCTATAAGGATGCAAAGGCATAAGAATGATACAATGGTCTTCGGGGACTCAGGGAAAGGCTGGGAGTGGTGAGGTGGGTGCGGTGAGGGATAAAACACTACATATTGGGTATAGTGTACTCTGCTCGGGTGATGGGTGCACCACAAATCTCAGAAATCGCCACTAAAGAACTTATTCATGTAACCAAACACCACCTGTTCCCCCAAAACCTATTGAAATAAAAAAAAACATCATATTCCTCAAAAACCTATTGAAATAAAAAATAAATTAACCACAATAATATTTGGCATTGGGTACGAGGGCCCTAATGGATGGGAGCACTGCAGTCACATTACAGCAATCCACTGTGAAACACCATTTATTCTTTGCAGGTTTAAGAACAGGCCAAATTCTACTGCTAAATGTTGAAGCAATGAGGATAATCACCCCTTCACTAATTAATTAGGTCTTATATAATAAGTTTTATTTATTTGAAATCATGTGTAATTTCTGTTGGACCATATTTGCTAATTTATCAAGATGGGGAGGCTAGGCACCATGGCTCACACCTGTAATCCCAGCACTTTGGGAGGCCGAGACAGGAGGATTGCTTGGGGCCAGAAGTTAGAGACCAGCCTAGGCAACGTAGCAAGACTGCACTTCTATAATTTTTTTTTTAATTGGCTGTGTTGGTGCATGCCTGTAATCCCAGCTACTTGGAAGGCTAAAATGGGAGGATTGCTTAAGCCCAGGAGTTCGAGGCAGCAGTGAGCTATGATTGTGCCACCGCACTTCATACAGCCTGGGTAATGGAGCAAGAACCCATCTCTAAAAAAATGAAAAATTAAAAATAAATCAAATTTAAAAAAAAACAGGAGAGGGAGTTCTGTAAGGTTACATTTGTGAAGTCAATGTGTAAGTGCAAATGGTTTAATTTCAATTTGTTACTCATTAGGTCAGAGCATCCATGTCCCCTATGGACAAACTCTTCTATGACTACAGGAAATTTACTCAAGGGAACAAATATGAGGCATATCTATGTGTCCTCTATTCTATATGCAGTTACTCTGCTAGGATTAGGGGATGCAAAGTTTAAATTTAGTGAAATCTCAGGTATAACAAAGTTTGAGCTCCAGTATTGATTAAGTTTGTGAAGGTATACCAATTGGTAGATTTCAGCAGATGTTAAAATTGATTCAGAATATATGCTGGAGAGTTACAAATACCAGTCAGCACCCTTTTATCTTTGGACTGTATAAATTGTTTTAGAAGATAGTACATTTCCAGTTAGGTCAGATGATAGACTTCCGTTTTAATTTAAATTTTGTTTTTGTGCATATCCATGTTCCTTCCCTTCCTTTCTTCCTTCCTTCCTTCCCTCCTTCCTTCTCTCCTTCCTTCCTTCCCTCTTTCCTTCCTTCCCTCTCCTTCCTTCCCTCTCTCTTTCCTTCCCTCTCTCCTTCCTTCCCTCTCACCTTCCTTCCTTCCCTCCCTCCCTCCTTCCCTTTCCTTACTTCCTCCTTTCCTTCATTCCTTCCTGCCCTCCTTCCCTCCTTCCTTCATTCCTCCCTTCCATCTCTCCTTCCTTCCTTCCATCCCTACCTCCCTCCCTACTTCCTTCCTTCCCTCTCTCCTTCCTTCCCTCCTTCCGTCCTTCCTTCCTTCCCTCTCCCTCATTTTTTTGCCACTGGATATGGGGAAGGTTGTTCTCTTTCCCACTCATACTTATAATTTTTTTATTTGAAACAGCCCCAAATCAGTATCTTCAGAGTTAAGGTCCTCCTTGTGAGCAGATTGTGTGGTTTAAGAACCCTAGACTTAAGTCAGGTTTGGATTTATCCCTTCTCTGTGCCTCAGGGGTACCGCAGGTGTCTTTTCCTATAACCCTGGGAATTAGATCTTTGTTGTGGCAGAACCATAAGTCGCAGAGCGATGCAGCACAACCAGCCCACAATTCAGGGGTCAGTGGATTGAAATCGTCTTCTGCTACGGCTCCATCTGGTTCTTCCAGGACTTCCCTCCCTCCTTTTTTTTTCCTTTTAGGGTGTTGAAACTTTAGTGGCATCTACATTGCCTCATAATCAGTCAAAACTCCCCTTATCCCACATCATGGATTAAAGAGAACATTGCCAGGAGCCCTTCACTCTTCTAGAAGGACTTTATTTGATAGGTCCTTTTTCCATGGTTTAGAATAAAAGAGGTAATAACTAGAAATGTCCCCCTCATAATAGGCTCTACAGCAAATTCTACTTTAAAGGTTGTTGTTCGTGTCTTCAACTGTGGCTGCCTTTAATGATTTTGTCATCCACAGACAGTTGTCTCATTTTGGTCCTCTTTAAATGATGGTTTTATAATCAGCTATAAAATTTAACAGATGCCCTTAAATGCAGGATTCTGATTAATAACGCTGGAGATTGTGACAATAGAATAGAAGGAAAACTTTCAAATAGAAGAGTGAATGGTGTTTTGTCTACTTTGGACCATATTTTTATAAATATATTATTAGTATGTATTCCAAAATTATTGGAAACTTATATAGAAATGTAATCCCCAGTGTTGGAAATGGGTCCTGCTGGGAGGTGGCTGGTCCATGGGAGCAGTTTCCAGTCGTTCCCAGTGTTGGAGACGGGGCCTGCTGGAAGGTGGCTGGTCCATGGGAGCAGCTTCCAGTGGTTCCCACTGTAGGAGATGGGGCCTGCTGGGAGGTGGTTTGTCCATGTAAGCAGTTTCTAATGGTTAAGCATCATCCCCCTAGCGCTGCTCTTGTGATGGAGTTCTCATGAGATCTTGTTGCTAAAGTGTGTAGGACCTTCCCCCTCTCTCTTTTCCTCCTGCTCTTGCTTTACCTTCCACCATGATTGTTAAGTTTCCTGAGGCCTCCCCAGAAGCTGAGCAGATGTCAGCATCATGCTTGCTGTACAGGCTGTGGAAGTGTGAGCCAATTTTCAGTACTCTTCTGTTTTCCTTTTATTTTATTTTTTTAAATTTTATTTTAAGTTCCAGGATACATGTGCAGGACATGCAGGTTTGTTACATGGGTAAACGTGCACTATGATGATTTGCTGTACTTATCAACCCATCGCCTAGGTATTAAGCCCCACACGCTTTAGCTATTTATCCTGATGCTCTCCCTCCCTGTCCCCAACGACAGGCCCCAGTGTGTGTTGTTCCCCTCCCTGTGTCCAGGTGTTCTCATTATTCAGCTCCCACTTATGAGTGAGAATATACGGTATTTGGTCTTCTGTTCCTGTATTAGTTTGCATGGCTTCCAGATTCATTCATGTCCCTGTAAAAGACATGATCTCATTCCTTTTTATTGCTGCATAGTATTCCATGGTGTGTATGTACCACATTTTCTTTATCCAGTCTATCATTGACGGGCATTTGGATTGAGTCCATGTTTTTGCTATTATGAATAGTGCTGCTATAAACATACGCATGCATATATCTTTATAATAGAATGATTTATAGTCCTTTGGATACATACCCAGTAATGGGATTTCTGGGTCAAATGGTAGTTCTGGTTCTAGATCCCTGCAGAATCGCCAAACTGTCTTCCACAATGATGGAACTAATTCATATTCCTGCCAACAGTGTAAAAGTGTTTATTTCTCCACAGCTTTGCCAGCATCTGTTGTTTCTTGACTTTTTTTTATTATACTTTAAGTTTGAGGGTACATGTGCACAACGTGCAGGTTTGTTACATATGTATACATGTGCAATGTTGGTGTGCTGCACCCATTAACTCGTCATTTAGCATTAGGTATATCTCCTAATGCTATCCCTCTCACGTCCCCCCACCCGACAACAGTCCCCAGTGTGTGATGTTCCCCTTCCTGTGTCCAAGTGTTCTCATTGTTCAATTCCCACCTCTGAGGGAGAACATGCGGTGTTTGGTTTTTTATCCTTGTGATAGTTTGCTGAGAATGATGGTTTCCAGCTTCATCCATGTCCCTACAAAGGACATGAACTCTTCATTTTTTATGGCTGCATAGTATTCCACGATGTATATGTGCCACATTTTCTTAATCCAGTCTATCATTCTTGGATATTTGGGTTGGTTCCAAGTCTTCACTATTGTAAATAGCGCTGCAATAAACATACATGTGCTTGTGTCTTTATCGCAGCATGATTTATAATCCTTTGGGTATATACCCAGTAATGGGATGGCTCGGTCAGATGGTATTTCTAGTTCTAGATCCCTGAGGAATCACCACACAGACTTCCACAATGGTTGAACTAGTTTTCAGTCCCACCAAGAGTGTAAAATGTTCCTATTTCTCCACATCCTCTCCAGCACCTGTTGTTTCCTGACTTTTTAATGATCACCATTCTAACTGGTGTGAGATGGTATCTCATTGTGGTTTTCATTTGCATTTCTCTGATGGCCGGTGATGATGAGCATTTTCTCATGTGTTTTTTGGCTTCATAAATGTTTTCTTTTGAGAAGTGTCTGTTCATATCCTTTGCCCACTTTTTGATGGGGTTGTTTGTTTTTTCTTGTAAATTTGTTTGAGTTCATTGTAGATTCTGGATATTAGCCCTTTGTCAGATGAGTAGGTTGTGAAAATTTTCTCCCATTTTGTAGGTTGCCTGTTCACTCTGATGGTAGTTTCTTTTGCTGTGCAGAAGCTCTTTAGTTTAATTAGATCCCATTTGTCAATTTTGGCTTTTGTTGCCATTGCTTTTGGTGTTTTAGACATGAAGTCGTTTCCCATGCCTATGTCCTGAATGGTAATGCCTAGGTTTTCTTCTAGGTTTTTTATGGTATTAGGTGAAACATTTAAGTCTTTAATCCGTCTTGAATTAATTTTTGTATAAGGTGTAAGGAAGGGATCCAGCTTCAACTTTCTACATATGGCTAGCCAGTTTTCCCAGCACCATTTATTAAATAGGGAATCCTTTTCCCATTGCTTGTTTTTCTCAGGTTTGTCAAAGATCAGATAGTTGTAGATATGCGGCATTATTTCTGAGGGCTCTGTTCTGTTCCATTGGTCTATATCTCTGTTTTGGTACCAGAACCATGCTGTTTTGGTTACTGTAGCCTTGTAGTATAGTTTGAAGTGAGGTAGCGTGATGCCTCCAGCTTTGTTCTTTTGGCTTAGTATTGACTTGCCTATGCGGGCTCTTTTTTGGTTCCATATGAACCTTAAAGTAGTTTTTCCAATTCTGTGAGGAAAGTCATTGGTAGCTTGATGGGGATGGCATTGAATCAATAAATTACATTGGGCAGTATGGGCATTTTCATGATATTGATTCTTCCTACCCATGAGCATGGAATGTTCTTCCATTTGTTTGGTTCCTCTTTTATTTCATTGAGCAGTTGTTTGTAGTTCTCCTTGAAGAAGTCCTTCACGTCTCTTTTAAGTTGGATTCCTAGGTATTCTATTCTCTTTGAAGCAATTGTGAATGGGAGTTCACTCATTATTTGGCTCTCTGTTTGTCTATAATTTGTGTATAAGAATGGTTGTGATTTTTGTACATTCACTTTGTATCCTGAGACTTTGCTGAAGTTGCTTATCAGCTTAAGGAGATTTTGGCTGAGACAATGGGGTATTCTAGATATACAATCATGTCATCTGCAAACAGGGACAATTTAACTTCCTCTTTTCCTAATTGAATACACTTTATTTCCTTCTCCTGCCTAATTTCCCTGGCCAGAACTTCCAATACTATGTTGAATAGGAGTGGTGAGAGAGGGCATCCCTGTCTTGTGCCAGTTTTCAAAGGAAATGCTTCCAGTTTTTGCCCATTCAGTATGATATTGGCTGTGGTTTTGTCATAGATAGCTATTATTTTGAGATATGTCCCATCAAAACCTAATTTATTGAGAGTTTTTAGCATGAAGGGTTGTTGAATTTTGTCAAAGGCCTTTTCTGCATCTATGGAGATAATCATGTGGTTTTTGTCTTTGGTTCTGTTTATATGCTGGATTACATTTATTGATTTGTGTATATTGAACCAGCCTTGCATCCCAGGGATGAAGCCCACTTGATCATGGTGGATAAGCTTTTTGATGTGCTGCTGGATTCGGTTTGCCAGTATTTTATTGAATATTTTTGCACTAATGTTCATCAAGTATATTGGTCTAAAATTGTCTTTTTTTGTTGTGTCTCTGCCAGGCTTTGGTATCAAGATGATTCTGGCCTCATAAAATGAGTTAGGGAGGAGTCCCTCTTTTTCTATTGATTGGAATAGTTTCAGAATGAATGGTACCAGTTCCTCCTTGTAACTCTGCTAGAATTTGGCTGTGAATCCATCTGGTGCTGGACTCTTTTTGGTTGGTAAGCTATTGATTGTTGCCACAATTTCAGCTCCTGTTATTGGTCTATTCAGAGATTCAACTTCTTCCTGGTTTAGTCTTGGGAGGGTGTATGTGTCGAGGAATTTATCCATTTCTTCTAGGTTTTCTAGTTTATTTGCATAGAGGTGTTTGTAGTATTCTCTGATGGTAGTTTGTATTTCTATTGGATTGGTGGTGATATCCCCTTTATCATTTTTTATTGCGTCTATTTGATTCTTCTCTCTTTTCTTCTTTATTAGTCTTGCTAGCAGTGTATCCATTTTGTTGATCCTTTCAGAAAACCATCTCCTGGATTCATTAATTTTTTGAAGGGTTTTTTATGTCTCTATTTCCTTCAGTTCTGCTCTGATTTTAGTTATTTCTCACCTTCTGCTAGCTTTTGAATGTGTTTGCGCTTGCTTTTCTAGTTCTTTTAATTGTGATGTTAAGGTGTCAATTTTGGACCTTTCCTGCTTTCTCTTGTGGGCATTTAGTGCTATAAATTTCCCTCTACAAACTGCTTTGAATGTGTCCCAGAGATACTGGTATGTTGTGTCTTTGTTCTCGTTGGTTTCAAAGAACATCTTTATTTCTGCCTTCATTTTGTTATGTACCCAGTAGTCATTCAGGAGCACGTTGTTCTGTTTCCATGTAGTTGAGCAGTTTTGAGTTAGATTCTTAATCCTGAGTTCTAGTTTGATTACACTGTGGTCTGAGAGACAGTTTGTTATAATTTCTGTTCTTTTACATTTGCTGAGGAGAGCTTTACTTCCAACGATGTGGTCAATTTTGGAATAGGTGTGGTGTGGTGCTGAAAAAAATGTATATTCTGTTGATTTGGGGTAGAGAGTTTTGTAGATGCCTATTAGGTCCACTTGGTTCAGAGCTGAGTTCAATTCCTGGGTATCCTTGTTAACTTTCTGTCTCGCTGATTTGTCTAATGTTGACAGTGTGGTGTTAAAGTCTCCCCTTATTGTTGTGTGGGTATCTAAGTCTCTTTGTAGGTCACTCAGGACTTGCTGTATGAATCTGGGTGCTCCTGTATTAGGTCCATATATATTTAGGATACTTAGCTCTTCTTGTTGAATTGATCTCTTTAACATTATGTAATGGCCGTCTTTGTGTCTTTTGATCTTTCTTGGTTTAAAGTCTTTTTTATCAGAGACTAAGATTGCAACCCCTGACTTTTTTTGTTTTCCATTTGCTTGGTAGATCTTCCTTCATCCTTTTATTTTGAGCCTATGTGTGTCTCTGCACTTGAGATAGGTTTCCTTAATACAGCACACTGATGGGTCTTGACTCTTTATCTAATTTGCCATTCTGTGTCTTTTAATTGGAGCATTTAGTCTATTTATATTCAAAGTTAATATAGTTATGTGTGAATCTGATCCTGTCATTATGATGTTAACTGATTATTTGCTCGTTAGTTGCTGCAGTTTCTTCCTAGCCTTGACGGTCTTTACAATTAGGGTGGGAGTGACCCGATTTTCCAGGTGCTGTCTGTTACCCCTTTCTTTGACTAGGAAAGGGAATTCCCTGACCCCTTGCACTTCCCGGGTGAGATGATGCCTCTCCCTGCTTCGGCTCATGCACGGTGCACTGCACCCACTGTCCTGCACCCACTTTCCAGCTCTCCCCAGTGAGATGAGCCTGGTACCTCAGTTGGAAATGCAGAAATCATCCATCTTCTGCATCGCTCACGCTGGGAGCTGTAGACTGGAGCTGTTCCTATTCGGCCATCTTGGCTTCACCTAGTCTTCTGTTTTCTAGATTTTTCAGTACACTTCTGTTTACTAGATTAAGACATTCCTGTGGAAAATTTTTCTCTCATTTTTTTTTTTTTTTTTTTTTTTTTTTTTAGCGCATAAGACATCCTTAAAAAAATCCTGGTTTTTTTTTTTAATATTTTCTACTTATCTTTGGTTTTTTAGTGATAAGTGGTTTGAAAGTGAACTGCATTCGTATAGTTTTCTTCACATTTCTTGTGCTTGAGGTTATTTGAGATTCTTAAAACTGTGGGTTTATTGTTTTCATCAATTTTGTATTTTTTCTACTATTATTTCTTCAATTTTCTGGGGCTTTTTAAGCTTTTGTTCTGTTTATTCTCCTTTGGGTATTCCAGTAACATGTAAGTTATGCTACTAAAAGTTGTTCTACAGCTCACTGATCTTTTTTTTTAATGTGTACTTTCTTTCTGTGATTTATGCTGGTTGGTTTCTACTGTGTTCGCAGGGTTAGCCTGGTGTGACTCTGTGGCTTTCTTGAGACATTTAAATAGTACCAAATTTTATTTAAAAATTTTAACCAACACACTATGTTTACTCATGTTTGAAGGAAAGCTCTTGGCTGTTCCTCTTTTTTCTGCCTCACTCTTACCAATGCAGATGACAGAGACTTGCAGACTCATCTAAGCCTTGTAAGACTCCATAACACGTTTAAAAAAATCATAACTGCTTTTTTGTTTACATATTATAGAGTCATTATTTAATTCTGAATCTAGCTTTAAATTTTGTTTAAAGTAGGAAATATTTTTTGTTCCCACTTAATGCTATTGAGTAGGTATATTTGTGTTGCTGCTTACTAGAGGACTAATAATTATAGTTGGCCATGAAGCAAAAATCACATATTTCTAAATTACCCTTTCAAAAGATTCATTAAGTTGCCTGTAAATCACAATGTAGACCAAAGTATTTATGCAGTACTTTAGAGACTCTCAATAATGACAAATATCCAGGTTTCTCTCTAGTAGAAAAGAACAGTTGAGTACCAAATAGTTTGCATTTTATCATCTAACGTGCTTCAAAAATAAAATTTTAAGCATGAGAATTACACTCAGAGCAGTGAGATGTTCATACTCTGAGAGGCATTTAGGATGTGAAAGTGAGAAAACAAGATTTTGTGAATGTAGTCTTGGGATTACTCACTGTGTGTCTTTCAGCCACTTCCCCTCTCCCTCTCCTTTCATCGCTATCTTCTCCTTGATTTTGAGTTGATTTTTGTATATTTATAATGGAATTTCCCAATGTCATATTGTCTCAACAGCACATTATGAAACAAGTACTTTTAAATTTACATTCAAACAGAGAAATAGAGGTTCTTCTTTGAAAGTATGGGTTCTTCTTTAAATGAACCCTACATTGCCTTTGGGGGGTGTTCATTATGTATAATTTTTAAAAATTGCTAACATCTGAAGCAAAAATTCATTTTTTTGTATTAAGTCTAATAGTTTTTTTTAACTTAAGTGTAGATTTTTTAAAATGCTCCGTAGTGGTGTTATTTATATGATTTTTGTCACTGCAATTTGATTGCTTCATTCATTGCTTTCTTTGTAATACCATTTCTTCCAAATATCATGCTTTCATTGGTTTCATGAACAGATTTCTACTTTAGAGTGTGAGCAAGGATGTTCTGTTAAATAAATGGGAAAATTAATCCTCCCGAATTTATATTGTCATGTGGAAGTGAAGAGTAAGTTTAATTTTGTAGCATTTCATCCAGCTTTGTCTCCATCCTTTGATACATGAACAAATTACATGAGTGAAGAACACCACTGTGTTTTCTTAAATAACTTTTCAACTTCAGTAAGTCATGAAAGGATCAAATATGAGAGAAATAGAGAACCTCAGGATCAACTCAAGTATTTGGAAAAAGTACTGAAAAATGAGGTGGGGTAGTTTCAAAACTGCCCTGCTCAGCATCGAAAGGCTCTTGTTTCTTAAGGAAGCCATGGAGTTTTATCAGCTTAAAAGTGAGTGGTTTGTAAAATGAAATTTTGTTTCTTTTAAACAACTTACTTTTGAAACTTCCATTCTTGTTCGTGGATTGTGGTTTGTTAGAACAGTGATTATTTAGTTTTTATGAGATGTTTCTTGTATTTTTATTTATTTTTTTTAAGGCAGAGTCTTGCTCTGTCGCCCAGGCTGGAGTACAGTGGCTCAATCTCAGTTCACTGCAACCGCCACCTCCCAGGTTCAAGCGATTCTCGTGACTCAGCCTCCTGAGTAGTTGGGATTACAGGCACCTCCCACCACACCCAGCTAATTTTTGTATTTTTAGTAGAGATGAGGCTTCACCATGTTGGCCAGGCTTGTCTCAAACTTCTGACCTCAAGTGATCCACCCTCCTCAGCCTCCCAAAGTGCTAGGATTACAGGTGTGAGCCACCGTGCCCTGCCTGTTTCTTGTATTTGATGATGAAAATCTGTTATTAACAGGCATTGGGCCTGTTTCTTGTATTTTATCATGAAAATCTGTTATTGACAGTAAGAGGATGGGGGCTCAGGTTAGCAACAGGGTGTTAGAAAAGCAGCAGTAAAATTTTGGTTCTCAAAACATTTGATGTCTTATTCCTTTTTTTGAACATGGGTTTTTCTAAAAAAGACCAGTCATTTTGAAACTTGATTTTACTGTCATGTTCTCCTTTTGAAATTCATCTTATTGTTTGTATGAATTGGCAGTCCTATATGGGAAATTTCGGTTTTGCATATTTTCAGATTATTTTCATTTTTACTTCAGAGATTTTGAACAGATGCTATACAAAAGTATTTATTTATTCAACAAAATTTAGTGCTGCTTATGTTGCAAGCACTTACTGAACTTCATGCTGTATGTGCCTGAGATACTTTTGTGAACGTAATGGCAACATCAAAAACTTTGCCCTTATGCACCTTATAAACCTTTAATTTCAAGGCATACTGATGAGTGGGCATCTGCTATAACGTACTTTCATGGTCATTTAATTCACCATTATTTGGGTATACCTTATATTAAAGCGATTATTAAAAATTGGAAAATATTTAACACATCTTCATCTTGCCTTTTTCCTTAACATATGTAGATCAAGGGAGTCACTGAGAATCAGTTTTAGGGATAGTTATAAAAATCTTAACTTTGCAAATATAACTTTGTTCTCAATGTAATAACTGGAAAAAATAATTTACGTTTCAAAGGCTTTAATCTTTGTATTTTTTTGAAAAGGAGCCTTCACCGAGATTTTTAAAAAATTATTGCTCTGTCCTACAGTAGAGACTGATAGAATCATGGATATGGTCCTCTAATGGATCTGTACCACCTCAGTTCTCTTATTGTTGCCCTCCCGTGGTGAAAATTAAACCTTATTTTCATTTCATGTCTAGGATGTAGTATGTTCTTTTTGGGAAAAACAATGATGTTTCTTGAGAAATAAGTGCCTTCAGTATCACTGTGTGTCACTTAATAAATATGACTAATATCTATTTTACCAGTTGTTGCAATTTGATCCTTAAACAGCCGTCTTTAAATTGTACTTTTTCTTTGGTTAGAGAAAAGTAATTATAATAGACATTAATTATTTTTACATAATTTTCTTATGTGGACAGCCGTTCTTAGAACTAAAACTTTCAGATGTTTATATTACAAGTACAATTATTATTTATTATTATTAATGTCAGTACCAAAATGTAATCAACTCTCTTCCTTTTGCTTCCTTTTTTGAATCAAAATATTACACTTATAGAAGCAAGAGCAACGGCTCTATATCTGGATCACTGCAGTGCCTAGAAGATACAACAGCACAATTTACAAATCCAAATTTCCAGGAAGTCTCTCCACATACCTCTCGTACAAAAGATGCTTCAGAGACTAGAGGGTCAGAGAGGAAAGAGAGGAAATATTCAACTCCCAGTTCAGGACAAAAGGGAAGAAAGCCTGCTGTTGAAAGAAATCCAAGAATGACTGTGTCTGCAACTCGCTCCTTTCTGTGAAGTATTCATGGTGCTTTACTTAAAATATTTGCTCTTATGATCGTCAATAATATTAATAGTTATGCTTTGTAAAAGAATTTATTCTTTACTTATAATTAATGGATGATTCTAAGTTATTATATGTTTAGTTGCTATAGTAAGATGATGTGAAAGATTTGTTGCCTGTTAAATATTTCTGGGATCTTTGTTTTATTTTTATATTATGATTTGTGCTTCCAAAGTTGAGCTGTAATTTTATTGTTTATACAAATGTAGAATAAAGCTTAGGTTTGGGGAGAAAAATAAAAGCTAGAGTTTTCCTTTCAGCTATAGAACAGTCATTTATTTCTATAAATGTTTTTTATGTAGCTTTCCTAGTTCCACATTTAAAAAGATAAATATGGGGATCTACACAGGTCTCAGTAAACAATAGTTCTTGGTTAATAATGCATTTATTACAAAGCTTGAAGTTTAAAGTAGAATTTTGCTCAGCGTACATATCTTTTATGGTCAGGCTGCTATAATTATGTAATACCCCGTTAAATTTCAATTTCAGATAAACAAGGAATAATATTTTAGTATAACCATGTCCCAAATATTGCATGGGATATACTTACACTGAAAAAAGTATTTGTTTATCTGAAATTTCAAATTAACTGGGCATGCTATATTTTCTGTGGCAACCTGTTTTATAGAGAACAGAGTAGAGTAAGTCAGCTAAATTTTAGAATACTTAACCCTAACCTGGTGTTCTAGGTCTTTCCTTCTTGTAATTATTATTATTATTTGGAGTCAGGGTCGTGCTGCATCACCCAGGCTGGAGTGCAGTGGCGCAATCACAGTGCCCTGTAGCCTTGAGCATCTGGGCTCAGGTGATTCTGGCACCTCTGCCTTTGCCTCTCAAGTAGCTAGTACCACAGGTATGTGGGCCCAGCTAAATTTTTTTTTTTTCTCATAGAGACAGGGTCTCAGGCTGGTCTGGAACTCCTGGGCTCAAGCAATCCTCCCACCTCTGCCTTCACTTCCCAAATAGCTGAGACCACAGGCACATGCCACCACCATACCCAGCTTATTTTTTATCAGGTTGGTGCAAGAGTAATTGCGGGGTTTGCCATTGAAAGTAATGGCAAAACCCGCAATTACTTTTTGTACCACCCTAATAATTTTTTGTGGAGACAGGGTCTTGCCCTGTTGTCTAGGCTGGTTTCCAACTCCTGGGCTCGAGTGACCCTCTTGCCTTGACCTCTAAAAGTTCTGGGATTACAGACGGGAGCCACTGCACCAAGCTACTTTGTATAATTTTTAACATAAACATAAATATTTTGAGAAATAGATATGTTAATACCATTGGAGGAAAATATATTGTAAAGTATACAATAGAAAAAAAATCAAGCAAAATACAACAAATACAACAAAAAATTATCAAAATTTTCAGAGGAACAGAACAAAATCTAGTTTTACAATCTTCAGAATTCAATCCCATTATAATAAACATATAAAGAAACATATTCAAAGAAAAAGGCAATCAATAGAGACTGACCTCGAGATGACCCAGATGTTGGAATTAGTGTGGATTTTTAAAGTAGTTATTGTAATTCTTACTAAAATCAAAACCCCAAAAACCCTTAAAATAAATGGATAGGAAATCACAGCAGAGAAGAAGAAACTACAATAATAACAAAGGCTTAAGTGGAAATTCTAGAAGTGAGAACCTTTTCAAAATTAAAAAATAATAATCAGTTGCTTTCAGGAGCAGCTTGGAGGTGGTAAAGAGTCAATGAACCTTAAAATACAATTGAAATGATTCAATCTGAAAAATGTGAGCAGTCATAGGTTGAGGTGAGGGAGCTTTTCCTTTGGTTAGTGCTTTTAGGTAATCTTGGTTTTGATAAGATTACTACACTGATCCGTCAGGGGCATGCTAAGCCAGAGTTTAACTTGGTTTCAGTAGTGCTTTAAACAAAACTCATGATATCCTGTGTACAAGATGGAAGAAGAGTGGACCAGATGACAATATTTAGATGCAGTCATTCTTAACCTCCGTTGCTCTCCCAGTGGTCTAGCTGAGGTTTGTATAAAGTGGAATGGGAGGAATAGGGAAGGAGCCCCCACCTACCCTCTCCCCTTATCCACTTGTCCTCCTTCACTAGTGGATAAAGTCCACGGGAACAGGCAAGTTATTTTAAATCTGTATCTTCTGTTGTCAAGATCTGTAATCAGTTCTGCTCGCTGGACTGGGGACAGGAACCAAGGGAACATGAGGGTGAACGGGTTGGCATGGAGTCCAGGAACACACTGTGCCTACATGCAGAATATTTGTGCCAGGAAAGCCAGTCAGCAGGCAGATGGTCTCAGATACCAAGCTAGTGTTGGGAAGCCAGATTCAGTCTCTTGAAGGTGGTGTTCCTCATTCTGTGGTTTGTATCACTTGCTTCAGAATGACCTGGAGTACTTATAAAAATGCAAATTTTGAGCCCAATCCTAGACCTCCTAAGCCTGTATCTCTATGGATGGGTCTCAGTAGTCAATATTGGAAATGTGCAGGTCCCTAGGAGATGCTTATGCATATAGATTTGAACTGTTGTGTTTAAGGGTTAGGGAGCTAGCAAAAGCAAGGAATAGACCAAGCCCTTGGGTGGGAAGGCTCCATAACCTTGGCACTGTTAGCATTCTGGGCGGAACAGGATTCTGCCATATGCTTCGCAGCATCCCTAACCTCTACTCTCTAACACCGTATTCCAGTTGTGAAAACCAAAAATGTCCCCTGGGAGGCAAAATAGTCACCATTTGGGAACTGGAACCACTGCTTTGTGGGATCAGAGTGGTTACTTTGTTCCGAATCCAAGGATCAGAACACACGATGAGAGAAAGTCCAGCTATTGGAACTGGAGTGCCAAGTTGAAGCTAGATCTACAACAAAAGTTCCAAAAGCTCCTTTATAGGGCTGATCCCATGCCTCAGCTACCTAGCTTGTACAGATGCCATGTAACTCTAGATTTGGTGACAGAAGGAATTTAAAGGCTAGAACTAGATAGGGTCTTTCAGGTTAGGCCAGCACACAACGTGGACTTTTGACATCATCCAGATGCTTGAACCAACCTCAGTCCTGAGGCAGAATTTCCCGTGGCATCTGATACACAGCCTGGCTTTGGAGCACTCACTGGGATTAGATGCCATGGGAATATCGTGTTTAGGAACTCTGAAAGAGACAGGCTTCAACAAAGCAGACCTAAGCAACACGTAGCGTCTGAACTTCTTTATCAGCTTCCATTCCAGGCCACGAGGACAAAAGCATCACATACATATCCACTGTGGCAAATCTGTCTTCAGTAGGGAGTTTCCCCAGTACTACTCTCCCCTCTGTTCTGAGCCTACTTGCTCCTTTGTAATGTTTCCACTTTCTGTTCCACTCCCTAATAGATGATTTGTCTTCTCTGCCCAGCCCCCTAGTTCTGACATTTGGATTGTCTGTGATCTGGGTAGTACTTAGGAGGTAGAATCAAAGCCTTGTTGATTGGATTGGGAGTTTCTAACTTCCTATTAAAGGCACTGATTAAGCATCTATTGTATAAAGTAAAGTAAGATTATGATCCAGTAAGAAAGATTCCACAAGTAGCGCAGGAAGAATTGGTTTCTAGTACACTTCATGCTTCAGGACAGGAAACCCAGAAAATAATTCTGTGGTACGTTAAGTGTGTACTGTAAGTTTCATTTTCATGTGAAAAACTGTAGTTAGCTAAAAAGTACATCCATGAAGAATCCTGATTATACTTGTTTAATCCTGGTTAAACTAGCTACTAGCTAAACAATAATTTCACAACAACTCAAGAACTCTGTAAAAGCATTTCCCCTGAATATTTTATTCAGAAAAAAACACAAAAAGATAAGGCAGAAACAAAAATCCCAGTCATTTGCAGTATCTGTCGGCTTTCAATTTGGTCCTCTTGTTTAAACAAATAAAAATAGTAAAATTAATCTATGTAAAACATGCCATATATATTCAACTGCTACTAAATATAAAAAGCTATAAAACTGTGTGTTCAATTTTGGTTACTGTATTATCACAACACTTATATTAAAATATGTATACTTTTAAATTTGGTTTCTATAAAAAATGGATTATAATCCTATAAAAGTTATTTCCTAATATTCAATAAATGTTGCCTAAGGGTTTTTTCTATCCAAATAGCAATTTTATTCCGGAATTTAAGGGTGCTCTAAATTTCCATTTAACAGGGTGAGAATGCTGTATTATTACAAGTGAGAAAAGTTACAGGACATAGAGTTTATTCCGTTTTAGAGTCCACATCCTGATTATATTTTTTATCCTCTTCTTGATTTCTTACAACTAGATACATATTCACTTACTCAGCTGGAAAAAATTTGTAACATTATTTACTGACTTTACGTATGTACTCTACCAGCTAGTTAACAGGAAATATGTAATTAAACATTGCCTTTATCAAGTAATGTAAAAAAGGGTAAGAGTAACTTTGCAACATAGGACTTGAATGAGCAACTGGTGATGATCAAAATCTGGCACTTAATTGATTTATACTTGTACACTCACAGCTAAACGTCTCTACCTGTTTTTCTATGGTATAAATCTAGGACATTACTTATCTACATAGGAAGAATAATAAATATTAATAATGTGCTATGATAAACATCCTGCACTCTTCCAAATCTTACAATAAAACTGCTTCAATTTCACTTGTTTAGCTTTTATATTTAGTTTGTTAGTTGATATATGCTTATTTTAAGGAAGCTGAACTACTCTAACAGAATCCACATAATTTTTATATTAGCCAAACTGCTTCTTTCTAACTCTGGTTCTAATAGTTATAAAAAGATAATGATAAATTTATGAAGTAGATACAGTCAAACCTGAATTTCTTAAAGTATATACTTAGAATCGGTTATAATTTTTAGATATTCTTTGTTGACAGTCTTTTCCCAAACTCATGATGTCCTCTCTAGGTAATTTTGCACACTCATAAATTAGAAATGAAGACAAAAATTTGAAAACTACAGTAATTTAAGAGAATATAGGTTTTCTACATGCCATTTCTATTGGCTACTGAAAACAGTGAAAATAAGTAAATAAATAGCTACCTGTCCAGAAGCGTCTCTTGCAAAAATCCATCTTTCTGAGCCTTTTTAAGAATTTTACTGTCTTCTTTACTTATTTTAAGTTTGTGCTCTTGGAAGCTCTGAAATTTCTTTCTGCAAAGAAAATGTCTTCATTGAAAAGTACCTCAAACTCTGATTATACATATTTACTATTAAATTTATAAATACTGTTAATTTCTTTTTCACTTATTAAAAAAGTCTAATTGTAGGCCAGATGCAGTGGCTCACACCTGCAATCCCAGCTTTGGGAGGCCAAGGCAGGCAGATCACTCGAGGTCAGGAGTTCGAGAACAGCCTGGCCAACATGGTGAAACCTCGTCTCTACTAAAAATACAAAAATTAGCCGAGCGTAGTGGCGCGTGCCCATAGTCCCAGCTACTTGGGGGGCTGAGGCAGGAGAATCACATGAACCTGGGAGGTGGAGGTTGCGATGAGCCGAGATCATGGCACTGCACTCCAGTCTGGGGGACAGAGCGAGACTCCGTCTTGGGGGAGAAACAAAAGTCTAATTGTATTTTTTTTTTAATAAGCTGGAGCATTTGAACAACAAAGATGACTCTCGTGACCTCTCAAGAGGAGGGCTACTCATTGACTGGGTAGCAAAAGGCCCCACTTCTATTAGGGCATGCTGGCTGGAGTCCCCTGTGTCCTGGCCATAGCACAGCCTTTGACTGGCATCATGCCCATTCTATGAATGAATAGAGAGATTGACTAACCCGAGTGACTAGCTTTGGGAGCTGGTAGGATGATTAGGAAAACTGAACCCTCAAGAAAAGAAAAGCATTTAGCTCAGTGCTCTGTCCCAGAGGCTACATTGTGTTGCCTCTTTTGTCCATCAGGTTTCATTTTTTCAGACAGGGTCTTGCTCTGTCACCCAGGCTGGAATGCAGTGGTGATCAGAGCTCACTGGGGCCTTGAACTCCTGGGCTCAAAGAATCCTCCTGTCTCAGCCTCCCGAGTAGCTGGGCCTACAGGCATGCACCACCATCCCCAGCTAATTAGGTAATTTATTTTGAAAGCACTTTGAGAAGCACTTCACTGTCAAATCCGTAGGTCTAAAAGGAAAAGCATACATACACATAATTGATTTCACATTGTTTTACATTTCCTTTGTCTTCTTCTGGAATGTCATCTTTTTTCTTGGTTTCTCTTTCAGCACAGGATCTAATCTAGATATTGGAAAAGAGAATCCAATGGGTTATATGTTTATCTTCCACTTTCCCCACTTTACGTATCACATAAGAACATTCGAGATGATTTCTTATGCAGAAGAAAAAATTAACTGAGCAACTATATTCAGAAAAAGACAGGTTCTGGCTATGTGTTTTTACTTCATATATATAATCTATATGAGTAAGTGCTATCACATGCTTCCTCCGCAGCCCTTGTGTCAGAAACACTACAGACAAAATTATTTCAGAAACATTTTACACATCAGATCCTGCTAGGCAATAAAGCAATCATTAATTTAGTTTTGTCCTCCAAGTGAATACACTAGGATCAAATTATCCCTAGTAGACAAGTGTTCATTTGATCAGATTGAAAGCTTAATAGCTATTTTACGTTGCACAGACTATTACCAAAGTATTAAGATTTTTAACATTACACAACTTGTTTTTAATTAATTGGAACCCACCTCTTTTACAAGCTTCTTATATCCTCCTAAGTTTGGATAGCTGTTTACTATCACATGTCATAAGTTAATTGATCTGCATTCAACAATTAGGATCACCCACAGAACAGGCAATTGGCAATGGTAATGACTCATGTCTCTTAAGGGATCTCTGTGGCCAGATTCCAGTTCCAGGGCTGCTTAGAAAGTGATGACAAATAACGTGTTTGTGCCAATGACATCTTTGTGACAGTTTTGATTAGAGGGGTCCCAGACATGAAAACATTCCCTGCTAGGGCCTGTAGGACAATGCTACCTTTAGTAAGAGGGATGTGTGTTCTGGTAGACAAGGCAAGGTCATAAAGGTGAAGGACTGACAGAGATTAGGAAAGCCTGCAATTAAATGGTATGAAAAGAGTCCTAAGTAATCACTGTTCAGAGTTTCCAAGTACTTGACTAACCAAAGAGACCCAGAAAACTTTGTATTTCATCAGAAAATTTCTTTAAATAGTGAAAAACGCAATCTTTGTGTAAGTATCTTTGTATCTTTGTATAAGTGCAAAACACTGCACATATATTTCCAATTGTTGCCTTCAATAACACTTTTGTGATGATATCCAGATGAAAAATTTAAACATGATACAATAAAATATAAATAAGTAAAATTAAATGTAAGTCACAAACCCATCTGCATTTCCTCAACGGCCTGTTTCCTGAGAAGCAATGTTCTATGAAATACTGAGAGTGGCCTCTGGAGTCAGCTGGGCCTGGGTACACATCCTGTCTTACCACATCTTGAAATCACTGTGATTTCCATGAACTGACTGACAAAAACAATGAGGATGTAAGGAGGGTCAGAGGCTGTCTTCCTGTCTGTAAGGCTGAGCTCATATCCACCTCACAGGAGCATTATGGAAATTCAAGACTACAACTTATGTGCCGGATGCATGCAACGAAAAAATATAACATTTCACTTCTCTAACTGTAAGAAAATACCTACATTTTAGAATGAAATTGTTTGAGCTTTAGATTTGAAATTATCTGAAATCAAGACTATTCTAAAAAGAAAATCAAACATGACCGGAAATCTAAAATGAAGCACACACAGAGAATTGATAGATGCTTTTAAATTACACTGGTAGTAGAGAAAAATGTAACATAAATTTTTATGCTCTAATTATAAGAACGAAGGGCATTTTAGAAAAGGCATTTGTCCCCTCTCTTAGAGCCTTCCACTCTGGCCCCTACAATGCCTTACAGAGCAAATCCGGGTCAGACTGGATGCAACCTGTGATTCCCAACAGAGACAAACAAAGCAAGGTTCAGGATGCTCAGTACTGCGATGGAATGCCAAGACACAGAAAAGCCATGTGTCAAGAAGGCGGGAGTTATTCTTTAGACACACCCTGGTATATGTTTATCATTAAAGATCAGTGGCTTTTGTGAGTCTAAAAAATTAAGCCTTAAATGTTTTCATCAAATTCCAGTTAACTACCTGATTTATCTAGGTTATATTAACAGTATTATTTAGAATTTCACCTTGATATGAAGATGTCTGTGTAACTTTTACAATGATGTAAAACAAAGAGTAGGATTAGGGAGGGCACAGGCCACTGGTGCAATGGATAACGCATCTGACTACGGATGAGGGAATTTAGCCTGGAATAAGGAACTTTTATTTCCAGCTTAGTGATGCACACAAATTTTCAAAATAAAATAAAAATCATGTTTTATGTGATTCCTGTTTCTCCTAATGCAAAGATGATGGGTACTATTACTAAAAATATTTTTAAAATGTAAGGGCTAAGGCCCCAGAAGTTCTGCTATGATTTTTTATGTTTCATAGAGTGATTATCATCACAGAAGCTCAAGCATTATGTAAATACAAACACATATACTCCGACCTGGTAATTCTGATTCCGGAAATTTATCTTCAGGTCCACCCGCACATCCACAAATTGATGCATATTCAATGTTATGTACCGCAGCACTGTTTATAAGAGCAAAAGACTGGAAACAGCCTAAATTTCCATCTATAAAAGACTAAATAAATTAAGGTATAGCCCTAAAATGGAATATTATGTGGCTGTTAAAAAAGAGAAAGAGAGAAAAAGCAAGAAAAAGAGAAAACTTTCTACATTCAAACTAATAGTAGAAAACTCTCCAAGATACAATTTTAAGGAAAAAAAAATCAAAGTCAAGAAGACGATAGAGGAGGCTGCCTTTAGTGTAAAACAGTTGAAAATTATAAATATACTCATATGTTTATAAAGAAATTTTAGGAGGCTATAAAAAAACAAAACAAAGGGAAAGAGGAACAGGACCTGGGACACAGGTAAGATGCATGGCAGGCATATGTCTTCATCTTCATATGCTTTTATTTAAAAATGTTGGACCACATGTACATGTTATTTATTTTAAAAATTAGATTTTAAAATACAAACAAGAAAATAAGAAAATGAAAGTTTAAAAAGAGTATGTGGAACTACCAGAAAAAGATACTAATCCATGGAGATAGTGGCACGGTAGCTCCTAGATGCACTGATTTCTCTACCACATTGTAGAAACAAGCCATCAACTATGAGATTTGTAATTAAAAATGAGTCTATTTGAAACACCACATTATAAAAAGCTATTAAGTAAATCTTTAAAGTGACAGTAAATGATGACTTAACATTTTAAAGAGATACAGTCATATTGCATGTGTGAATGCAGTCATCTGTATAAAATGTCATCGTTACCTTGATCATTTCTTCTTCTCCTGCTGTTTTACTTTTTGCTTCTATGTCCCCTGCTTCATTGCATCTAATAAAGCAGCCATTTGAGGCCAACAAAGCCATTTTCCCCTAAGTGAAAGAAAATAACAAAATAGCCATGAGGATACTTCCTGTGGAAAAAACATTAAGTGTTTAGACTGAATTAATTTTTCCTCCCTGATTTAAAAATCACAGAAAAGAACTTAGAGAAAAACCTGAAAAATATAATATAAGAACATATAGAAAAGGAAACCAAAATCACCTTTCATTTTACTATTCAAAGATTACCACAATAAACATTTGTAGTGTATCTTCCTAGTAGGATTGCTTCCTTTCTAAAAGATCTACTGAAGATAAAACTGATTTAGTTCTGCTTGGAAAATCAACTTCAAAGACAAGAACATAATTATGAATGCATACTTTATTCAAATATTAACAGTTTAAGTAAAATTTATTTTCTTCACAATTAGAAAACATGAAAAGGTACATATAATGACTTTGGTGTTTTGAATTTAAGAATCAATGTCTGAGGGACCCTTGTGTGTGAAAATAAATATTCATATACATTTTTAGTTGTTTAATGTTTGATGTATTACACTGGTTTCTATTAAACAAAACTTTAAAAACTGATTTTCTTGTGTATTTAAATCTGGGTTATAAATTTTGTTAGCTTAACTCCCGTACCAAATATAACGTTTATTTATAACTTCTTTTTGGTTGATTCTTTTGGAAAACCTGGAATATCATAACATTTAGACAAAATATTTATAAATAAAATGATTACAAAATATGTTAAACTTATATCACATCCAGTTAAAAACGTGCTGATAACATGGATTTAATTTCTTAGTCAAGTCACAAGGGCTGGGAGGTCTCTCATCTGGATGGCTCCTGGTGAGCCCTGGAACATGGCGGTGTGGTCCAAGGCGATTTAAACCTGTGCCACAGATTATTCAGCTGAGTCCTTTTTGCAATAGATTTTTAAGACCCTCTTTCATTCAAATTTAAATTTTTGAAGCTTAGTGTCCTTCCTAAAAATAAAATGAAATGAACTTTCCTAAAGTGTTGTATTATTAGTGCTATCTAAGTCATCATCCTGGCCTTATGAAATATTGGCATTTTCTACTGGTGTAACTTTTATTAGAAGCATCTCATCATAACTAGTAGGACATCTCAAAGGGGTTGCAACACATTAGCAAGTAATGAAATCAATGTATTGTTTCCTCAAGGGTATTGGGTGGGTGGGGGGGAAAAGGAATACACACAGACACACAGAGAAAGGGGTAAAAGAGAATACGAAATATCAAGGTGCATAACACATGGATAAGTAAGTATTGTTAAGTACAACTCTTGCTTCAGTTATACATATGTTTGTGCTGGGCTGGCAATGTAAAAATGCATTTCTCAATGGATTGGGTCAAAATAGTTTTCAAGTCACTGACTTAAGATTTTATCCTGGGGGATGACGAAATTAGTCTAAGTGATTACCTCTTTCTGGTGGGATGTTTGTTTAATCTGTCATCTTAGAAAACACTGCTGTGTTCCTATTTTCAGTTCATTATTGTATACTACCAAAGCTGCTACTCAAAGGCTGAGCTTATCTTCTATTTGCTTGTTCTGCGTGGTGCCCACTGGTCCTTACTGTTTTTGATATAGTTATCTACTTTTTAAAGACAGTTTAGCACTCACATATTTTTGTTCAATCTTTACTTCTCACACAAACAGAAAAAGGAAATTATGTATTCTGTATCAACAAAGATTTAACAAAACATCCGTATACTACAACTGTCTACTTACTAAAATTGAGAATTAGTATATTATCTTTTTTCTTCTTATATTAAAACTATCTTTTCATACACTATTTTAAGCTTATGAGCTGAAAATCTTAGAGATAATTTACTTCAGTGAACTATTATTATTTATATTTTATATGCAAATTGTCACAACTTGGTCTTAGCTAGCTCCACTGTTTGCTTGCAGTCTGTAATGTTTCTGAAAGCATGCATGATTTCTGCTACAAAGAAGATACTTATGAACTATTCTGTTTTCCTACTCTGTGACCTAAAATTGACTGGTTCTTTAATGGAAATGAGATCCATATCTAGGCACTAAGGGTATAGAGAAATAATTGTGGGCAAAAGTACTAATGCGATTTTTGTTGCACTGTATTTTGAGATCTCTTTAAGGCTCTATGTTCTTGCTGGTTTATTCCAATTTAATGTATTACACTATTGCATCCTACTTTTTCTTTTTAAATATATTATGATTGACTGTTACAGACTTTGTGTGAAACTGACAGGAAGTTTTTATAAACAATAACAGCACTTAGGTTTTGAAAGACTGGTTCCCATTGTTCTCTTGGTCCAATTGCATCTGAATGCCCAACAACAAGTTCATCTGAATTTATACCAAGATATTTTCCATAGCCAGATTTCAGGGTGATTCTGTACATTAATAAGATGGACAAAAGTTAAAAACTGAGAGAAAATTAATTATAGGACATCAAAACAGGACATGTGTATGTGTGTGGGTGTGTACATATCTAAAGTTTCAGACTGGACATATTCCAAGTGTTCAAAAGATGCATGTGGCTGAGTGGTGACTCACTCCTGTAATCTTTGTGCTTTGGGAAGGCAATGGGAGAATTGCTTGAGGCAAGAAGTTCAAGATCAGCCTGGACAACATAGTGAGACCCCATCTTTACAAAAAATTTAAAAAGTTAGCTGGGCATGGTGGTGTGCATATGTAATACCAGCTACTTGGGAGGCTGACACAGGAGGAGTGCTTGAGCCCAGAAATTTGAGGTTATAGTGAGCTATGATCACACCACTGCCCTCCAGCCTGGGTGACAGAGTGAGACTCTGTGCCTTCAAAAAAAAAAAAAAGCTACATGTGACTAGTTGTGGCCATATTGGACAGTAAAGTTTTAAATTTAGTTTTATATTTTGCTTTTTTAATATAAACATGGTACCTTATTTATTACATAACAAATATTTTCAAAATTCATCATTCTTCAATTATACCTCTTTAGTTATAAATTTCAATAATAAATTACTAAAACTTTATGTCATCAAACTGTTTTCCAGAAAATGCTGCTTCCATTTACATTCTTACCTCAAATTAACGGAGTATGTTTTGTATCATGGATTTTTTTTAAAACATTATGACTCTAAAAAAATACTTGAAAACCTGATATGGAAAAAAACAGTATCCTATTAATTTGCATTTTAGTAGTTAACTAGAATAACAATTGTTTCTCTTTTCCTTTCCTTTTTAGTTTTTAGATTATCTGGTAATGTCCTTGTCCATTTTTCTATTCAGATCTGATTGTTCGCAATTTTCCTACTGGGTTCTTCAGTGCTATGAATTCTATACAAGATACATATGAAGAGTAAGAACTCACTGCCTATTAAGATTGTTGCAAATATTTTCCTCATTTGTCAGTTTTCTTTATAATCCTTTTTTGTTTATAATTGTAAAGCAGTTTAAAACTATTGAATTTTTCTTCCTCTGCTTTTATTCTGTCTTTCACCCTACTTATCAGACTTTCAAAGAAAGTATAGAAATAATCATCTTAATGTGATTTTTTAAAATTATGATTTCTTTTACCTTACCAAGAATTTCCTCGGATGCCAGAATTGACTTTTACTCCTTTATACGTTAATGATTATATAACAGAAATCATTATCATGTTGATGTAACCAATTACTAAAATATGTAAATTCACTTTCAGTATCTTTTACCCAAAGAATCATTCTATACTTCTGCACAAGGTGAGAATAAAAAAGGTTACTTTATAAAATGACTGTAAAAATAGTGAGTAAAAATATTCTTTTGTTTGTTATGATGCTGTAACATTCTCTGCTGGTTTCAACAATATTCCTTTTTTTAGTCTTCCTGTTTGTCTTTAGACTTCCAAACAGTGAGTTTAAATATCATAGCAACAGTGAACAAGGTTTTGTAGTATTTGATTTATTTTTTAATCTATCTTACTTGGTGTGTGAAATTATTAATCTTCATTTTTTAACTTACATATCTTTCTTCCAGCCTAGCATTATATATTGATAGGAAATCCACTAAAAGTAGATCACAAAATCTACTTTTCAAAAAAGCTATTTCATTTTTTATATCAAAATTACCATGGGTTTAAGACAGATACTAAAAATTTTAATGAATACAATTAAATTTTTAAAATAACTGGTTACTAATTATATTACAACATAAGCTCACCTGGAATCAGATAATTTGACAGCCATAAACTGCTCTGGAGGACTAGGGCCCTCATCAATATTGGAGAAAAAAACATTTGAAAATAAATTTGACATTTGCTATAAATATAAAGACATTATTTTGCTTTAAAAATGTTGCTATTTTCTTCTGCAATTAAATGTAAGAATATTCAGATATACTGATGTCACTGTAATACTGTATCTTTGGAATCAAGATCTATTTTACCTTCTTTTAACTACAGTGCTAATTTTATACACTGAGTAAGACAGGGTGATATAATGCTTATTTAATAACTTTCGAGATAGCTTCTCTTTATGTTTTAAAATACAGTCATAAATAAGCACTTATTTAAAAAAGCTAAATGCTTTCATTTATTCAATGGATGGCCTTGCTGACCAAATGATACTGCTTTTTATCTTCTAATTATTTCGTATCTCATTAGTGCTTCCTCTAATGGGCTAAAGAAAATGAGGAAACTTCAAATTGTTAAATGCACCCAGGTTAGTTTTGGTAATAGGTCTGAATAAAAAAGAAATTCAAACATGTTTGACTCAAA
Organism: Homo sapiens; assembly: GCF_000001405.40. Classification (NCBI taxonomy): domain Eukaryota; kingdom Metazoa; phylum Chordata; class Mammalia; order Primates; family Hominidae; genus Homo; species Homo sapiens. Next base: position 88,014 of record NT_167213.1, read on the forward strand.
TAGGTTTTCTTTTTTCTTTCCACTTACTATTTTAATTATTCATATTGTTTTGATTTCCAAAGATACTCTTCTGGAACTATATGGAATGTTTTCAAATGCTTATATTAGAAAGAGGGACTTGCCAACGGCTAGTAAATATTAAGGAATTAAAAAAATGGACGAGTCAAATGCAATGGTTCCATTCCTTTGGAAAATGTTTGAGACTAGTTAGAGTTTGGCCTAAGTGAATGAATGTCCTAAAATCTACACTTGTGGCAGGATCTTCCCTTCCAGACACAAACCTTCTTTGTGTGGAGCTCCCAGGGTAAAAAGACCATTGTCGAGTGGATGTATATAGGTTCCCTCATCCATTTCAATGGCTATGGTTCCTGAAATTTCATCAAAGTTTGTTACTGTTCACCAGATTCCTAAAAAATAAAATTGATATTTCAACTTTATATTTTAGTTTTGACACAGAGTTCTTTGTTATTATAACTTAGTTTTAAAAACCTTTTATTTTGCAGTCATAAGAAATAATACGAAGATCTCACATATCCTTTACTCGCTTTGTCTCAATGATGACAACTTACATAAGTATCATACATTGTTAGAATCAGGAAACTGACGTTGATATAATCCATGAAGCTTATTCAGATTTCACCAGTTTTACATGTACTTGTTTGCATGTATGTGCACAGATTCCTGCGATTACCAGCACAGTCAGGATTAGGTTTTTAAAATACAAAATAGCAATATACAGCCAGGCATGGGGGTGCATGCCTGTAATCCCAGCTACTCGGGGAGCTGTGAAAGAGGATCACTTGAGCCCAGGAGTTCAAGGTTATAGTGAGCTATGATCATGCCACTGCACTCTAGCCTGAGTGACAGAGCAAGGTCCTGTCTCAAAAAAAGACCGAAACAAAACAAAAGGCAACATGTGAAGGTACAAAGTGATATATGGAGAACGGTCTCTCTCATGATAGACCCCAGCCATCTATTCATGCCTGCTTTCCAGAGGCAATGCCTATCATAATACTTCTTAAAAATGTCTCTACAGGAAGACTTTCTAGCATAGTAAACTTTTTTTTTTTTTTTTGAGACGGAGTCTCGCTCTGTCGCCCAGACTGGAGTGCAGTGACACGATCTTGGCTCACTGCAACCTCCGCCTCCTGGATTCAAACAATTCTCTACCTCAGCTTCCAGAGTAGCTGGGGTTACAAGAACCTGCCACCATGACCGAATAATTTTTTTTGTATTTTTAGTAGAGACGGGGTTTCACCACATTGGCCAGGCTGGTCTTGAACTCCTGACCTCGTGATCCACCCGCCTCTGCCTCCCAAAGTTCTGGGATTACAGATGTGAGCCACCGCTCCCGGCCAGTAATCTTAACTATGATTTTAGATTGAAAGCAAAATGAGCAGAATCTATGTCTATGTTTACTAATTTCCAATTTGCCAATAGAAATGTTAGACTTTAGCCACAATTATTTTAGCACTTGTTATAAAAGTTTATATCTTAATGTTAAAAAATATCCTCAAAACTCCTCCTAAATTGTACTTTAACTAGAGTAGAAATGAGTCAATCATTAACTGGATATGACATATTAAGGAATTCTTGTTAATTTTGCAAGGTCTGATAATGACATAGTATAATGCATAAAAGTAAAGAACAAAACAGGTGATGAGAGAAAGACATACCACGTTAAGAAATGTACATTTATGTACTTATGGGTAAAATGACATAATATCTGTGATTTTACTTAAAATTTTCTAGGAAAAAATGTGTGTGGGGGTGTGTATGTAAATGAAACGAGATTGGCAAAACATTGATAATTAATGCTGGGGCCTGGGCACATGGGGGACTAATTATATTCTTCTATGTATGGATTAGTTTGGATATTTCCATAATAAAAAGGTTTTAAAGATTCAGTTAATTCCACTGCACAAAATTTTCTATTCAACTAAACATTTCATGCTTTTCATAATCAATTTTAAAATACATAAAATTTCAGCTAAAATGAAGTTGGACCCTTATCTAACACCAAATACAAAAAGTAACCTAAAATAGACCAAAGACCTAAATGTAAGAGCTAAAGTTAGAAAACTTTTAGAAGAAAATGGGAAAAGCTTCACGACAATGAATTTGGCAATGATTTCTTATATAGAACATCAAAGGCACAGGCAAGAAAAGAAAACACGGACAAACTGGACTTCATCAGAATTAAAAACTTTTGTGCATCAAGAACCACTGTCAAGAGAGTAAAAGGCAACCCAGAGAATGGAGAAAATATTTGTAAACTACATACATTATAAGGAATTAATATCCAGAGTATATAGAGAACTCCAAAAAGACAAACACCACAATTCAAAACTGGGCAAAGGATATACATGGACATTGCTCCAAAGATGATATACGAATGGTCAATAAGCACTGGAAAAGACGCTCAACATCACTAGTCACTAGGAAAATATAAATCAAAACCATAATGCAATACCACTTCACACCCATTAAAATGCTATTATCAAAACAAACAAAAAACGGAAACCAAGAAAACCAGAAAAACAAATGTTGGGCAGGATGTGGAGAAACGGAAACCCTGTGCAATGCTGGTGGGAAGGTAAAATGGTGCTGCATGTATTTAAATGCCACTGAAGTGTACACGTAAAAATAGAAAAACTGGCAAATTCTATATTCTGTATATTTTACCTCCACACACACGAAACCAATGGAGAAAAAGAAAATTAATCAAAATTAAAATTTCAGCTAAAGATGATTAGAAAGCAATAAAACTAATGACAATTTAGATGATTGAGTTATAGCTACAATTGTTTTCAGTAAAAGAAATAATGCTTTATTCAGAATCATTATGAACAGTGTTATGATTAGCAAGTCTTTCCTATAAATGTAATAGTTAATAATTGTAAATTAGTTTTATTTTGTATGTTCTATGCCATGTTCACCAAGTACACTTAATATTAAATAATTTAAATATAATATCTCATTAATGTTTCGCAAATGAAGAAGAAATTTCTGGCAGACAAGCTCCTCAAAATTTTCACACTCTGTCCAAGTAGTGAAATGATACAATAACATTACTTATAATATTGTCAACTGAAAAAGAAATTACTTTGAGCAGATGCCAGTATTTCTTCTCAATGAGATTTCAAAGAATAAGAAAGCTAAATACAGTATCATCAAGAATTAAATGTGAGCATTCTGCCTACTTTCTGCAAGTGGCCTACATTCAATATTTGGAGGTATGCTTATATGTTTAACGACTAAAGTAACATAACATAATACTTAACGGTGCCACTCGGGGGTTTTAGCTGTGAAAAAGCAGTGGATCCTAAGAACAGTGGGCACTGAAGTAGCCTGTCTCCATGTCAGGTTACAGCTCAAGCTGTGTATATGCTGCAGACGTCTGAGCTGAATTTAAGAGAATCCGCTCTAAAACATTACTTGCTATTTAGACACATGCTTAAAGTTATTTCCTTTTAAACCTTAGGCAGATGATGAAATATTCCCGCTGTGTTGTCTCACAATGCATAACAAAGCTTTTCACATATTTTCAGATAGTTGAGAATTTTTCCATATGTCTGGCATGCCTGTAATCCAACACTTAGAGAGGTGGAAGCAGGAGAATCACTTAAGCCCAGGAGTTCAAAATCAGCCTAGGCAACAAAAGGAGACCCCCATCTCTACAAAAAAATTAAGAAATTAGCTGGGTATGGTGGTACAAGACTGTGGTCCCAGCTACTCGGGAGTCCGAGGTGAGAAAATTGCTTCAGCCTACGAGGTCGAGGGTGCACTGAGCCATGATCATGTCACTGCACTCCAGCCTGAGCAACAAAGCAAGAGCCTGTCTCAAAAAAAAAAAGAAAAAGTCCCGATGCACCCGTGTCATGGCTGATAAGATACTACCAGGGCACCCTCATTCTAGCATCAAGGCTGTGTGACAGCTCACCTCACCTTCTGACTAACCCAGTGCTTCTGTGCTAAGGGCCCCCTTAAACCTCTACCTTCATTATGTGCTTGGCACAAAGGAATGATATATCCTAGATTTGGAAATGGAATTTTCTTCCCCAATCTTACTGTAGTCTAAGTACCCTTCACAGAACTTCTATTAACCCATAGCTTACTTAGCTTTAGTTCCTGGGTAAATCAAATCTGTGTTTTGCAAACTACGATGTTGTAAGTTCAATTGCTTCTGAATCTAGCAGAGCTCAGTGAAACTCTTTGCTTACAGACATGCTCATTTTTATTAATGTCACACACGGTATTCTCCATGTGAAAGACAGAATTTCTTTCATCCTGGTTACCCATCCCTTCAGATCCTTGTGAGGAACCAACAGAACAGCTTTAAAAAATTAAAAGGTTTTTCCTTTCCCTTGACAAATAGGCACATGCTTACATATACGGCAAGTTTAGAGAATCCACAATGCAAAAGAAGGTGGAAGGACAAAGAGAAAAAGATGCAGAAGGACTTCCTCTTCCAGCCAAGATGGACTTGCCCTCCCACCATGACCAACGAGAAAACTGAAACTAGATAGAATATTTGAGAGAACTGTTTTCGGGGATTGGAACACAGGCAGAACAGGACTGTGATATTTGAGAACAGGAAAACACAGGAGGCAAATCTCACATACACTTCTCTTTTCTGTCCAATGGCAGTTTCTTGACCACACAGAGAGAGGTAGAGACCTCCAAAAATGAGGCAATGTCACTGTCACGAAGCTAAGAGTCTTGCAGTGCTAACGTGTTTGGAGTTTATAGAATAAGGTACTGGAGAAGAGGGAACTACATACAGGTGAGGCCTCAAAAGAGTATGCCCTGGGGCCAAGGGCTGGGGGGAGTGCATACAGTAGGCAGGCTCCACAGGGCCTCTGCAGAGTGGCTGGCACTTCTGAGGGCTGAGTGGAGATGCCAGAGATCACACAAATTTGGGACATAGCAGAGTGGAGAGAACTCACCAAGTATACCTAGAACATGTGGCTGGGGCCCATGAGGATGAATCTTTCCTAGAGTAAGAGTCACTGTCTAAGTCTACAGGCAAAAACCTAATAAATAAGCACAAACTAACAAAGGCCCAGGCTTGACAGGAGCAAAAGGGTGGTCAAATAATTTAACTAGGCATCAAGACATTTAACAGAAATAAAGGTTAAAATGTTATGAAAATGAAAGACTGAATTTATAAGGAAGACTTAACAATCCTAAATGTGTACACATGACAGCTTCAAAATACTTTAAGCAAAAACTGCTCAAGTAGACAGATCTAGAATTACAGCTGGAGATTTTAACATAACTCTCAATACATTGTAGGATGAGTAAAAAATCAGTAAGGCCACAGAAGATGTGAATAGTCACAAGCTCCACCAGTTGATCTAACTGACATCTTAAGAACACTGAACCACAGGGTGCCACAGCTCATGCCTGTAATCCCAGCACTTTGGGAGGCCAAGGCGGATGGATGGCCTGAGGTCAGGAGTTTGAGAACAGCTTGGCCAACGTGGTGAAACCCCGCCTCTATTAAAAATATATTAAAAAAATAGCCAGGCGTGGTAGCAGGTGCCTGTAATTCCAGCTCCTCCGGAGGCTGAGGCAGGAGAATCACTTGAACCTGGGAGGCGGAGGCTGCAGTGAGCCGAGATCACGCCACTGCACTCCAGCCTGCTGGGCAACAGAGTGACACTTCATCTCCAAAAAAAAAAAAAAACAAAAACAAAACTCTGAACCAAAACTGCAGAATACACATTATTTTCAAGTGTACATGGAAATTTACTAAGAAAGTATGTTTTCCAACTATACTATAAATGAATTAGAAATCAGCAACAATAACATACCTATAATATCTCTATGTAGTAGAAATTAAAAACAATACACTTTTAAATAACTCTAGTGTCCATGAAAAGAAAAATCACAAGGAAAACTGGATGATATTTTGAATGGAATGAAAATGAAAACAAAATGTGTTGACTATAACTAAAACTAACATGGAATGAAGAGATCCAACTCCCTTCTTAAGAAGCAATAAAACAAGAGCAAAGTAAACTGAAAATAAGTTAAATGGAGGGAAAAAAAGGCTGAAAATAAATGAAATAAAACATGAAAAAAAGAGAAAATAAGTAATACTGAAACAGGCTTGTCCAACCTAAGGGCTGCATGTGGCCCAGGCCAGCTTTGAATACAGCCCAACACAAATTCATAAACTTTCTTGAAACATTATGAGATTTTTTTGCTTTTTTTTTTTTTTTTGGCTCATCAGCTTATCATTAGTGTATTCTATGTGTGGCACAAGACAATTCTCCTTCCATTGTGGCCCAGGGAAGCTAAAAGATTGAATAACTCTGTATTAAAAGATCATTAATGATCTAAAATAAATGATCTTATAAAGAATTGATAAACCTCCAGCTAGACTAACTGAGCCAGGAAAAAATGGAAAAAAACACAAATTACCAATATGAAGAGACTGCAATACAGATTAGATTCTACAGACATTAAAAGGATATTAAAGGAATATTCTGAACAATTTTATGCCAATAAATCCAACAACTTGGATGAAATGAAATTTTCCTAAAAGACACAAATTACCAAAACCGACAACAGAAAAATCTGAAAATATCTCTTAAAAAATCTTAATTCTCCCACAAAAACAAAAACCAAACCAAAGAAAACCCTCTAGGTTCAGATGACTTCACTGGTAAATCCTATCAAACATGTAAAGAAGAATCATACCTATCTTACACAGCTATTTCCAAAAACAGGGAAGGAGACAGCAATTCCCATGTAATTTTATGACACCCAATATCACCTTGACACCAAAATCAAATAAAGCCATTACAAGAAAAGGATACAAAAGTCCAATATCTCCCATCAACACCAATATAGAAATCTTAAAAAAAAAAAAAAAAAGCACCTAGAAATCAACTCTAGCAATATCCCAAAGGACAACGCACCACAACCAAGTGGGGTTTATCTCAGGGATGTAAAGTGAGTTTAAAAGTTGAAAATGAAACCAATGTAATTCATTGGCAGAATGAAGAAAGTTGTGTAATCATCTCAACTGATACAGAAAGAGGCACTTGACAGCATTAAACATCCTTATGATAAAAACTCCCAAGAAATAAAGTTTAAAAGGAATGTCTTCATTTTGATAAAGGTTTTCTCTGCAGTTCCTACAGACATCATACCATATGGTGGACTACTGAAAGCTTTCTGCCTAAGCTTGGAAACAATGCAATTATGCCCATTCTCATGACTTCTGTTCAACACTATGGAAGTCCTGGACAGTATAATAAACCAATAAAAAGCAAGACAAGACATAAGGATTAGAAAGAAAGAAGTAAAATGATAGTCACAGGAAACATAACTGCAAATTTCTTAGTGTTCTATATAAACAAACCACTAGAAGTAATAAGTGAAACAGACGTTATCAGACTATAAAGTCACTATACAAAAATCAATTGTATATCTACATACTGACAGCAAACAACTGGAAAATCAAATTCAAAAGTTCTACTGACAGTAGTGTCAAATTATAAAATACTTAAGAATAAATTTTTAAACAGGCATGCAATACTGCTACATTGAAAATTATGAAATATTGAGGCCCAATATTAAGATGTTGATTCTCGCCCCAAATGATCTGGACTCAATACAATTCTCCGAGAAAATCCAACAGGCTTCACTGTAGAAATTAATAAACTAATAGTTAGTAAGTACAAAGTTGGAGCACATACTACCTGATCTCAAGACTTCATGAAATTATAGAAATCAAGAGAAATATACCAACAGAAAAACAGACAATCGATAGAACAGAGTCCAGAAATAGACCAATACATAGAAAGTTAATTGATTTTTTATGAAGATATGAAACTGGATTAATGCAAAAAGGAAACACCAGTGGTGCTAGCACAAATGGCTATCAAGATGTTAAAAAAAAAAGTAAATCTTGAAACCAAACTCACACCATGCCAAAAATTAATTTGAGATTAATGACAGATTTAATGTAAAAACTAAAACTATGATGTCTCTGAAAGACAATGTAGAATATTTTCCTGACTTTGGGGTAAGCAAAGATCTCTTAGATCAAAGAGATAAGGCAGTAACCATAAAATTAAAAAATAAACTAAGCTTTATAAAAATTAAAAGCTTCTGACCATCCTGGCTAACATGGTGAAACGCTGTCACTACTAAAAACACAAAAAATTAGCTGAGCGTGGTGGCAGGTGCCTGTAGTCCCAGCTACTTGGGAGGCTGAGGCAGGAGAATGGCGTGAACCTGGGAGGTGGAGCTTGCAGTGAACCGAGATTGCGCCACTGCCCTCCAGCCTGGGTAACAGAGCGAGACTCCATCTCAAAAAAAAAAAAAAAAAAAAAAGCTGTCCATCCAAAAACCACCATTAAGAAACTGAAAAGGTAAAACTCAGACTGGGAGAAAAGACTGATAACACCATTAACTCTTGGCAAGGATGTAACTGGAGAACTAATTAATTCTTGGTGGGAGGGTAAAATAGCACAACCACTTTAGAAAATTTTTGGCAGTTTCTTACATAGTTAAACATTCACCTATCCTTTGACACAGCAATTCCACATCTATATATCTACCCTAGATATTTACCCTAATTTTAGAATTGTTGAATTGCCATTTCAAAAGCAATGATCCTTCCAGAACATTAGCTTTCTACCATTCCATATTTTATATATTTTTTAAGCTACCATAATTTATGAAGATTCAAAATGCAACTTGCCAAGTTTTAAAAGAGAAAAAAAAAGTATGGAAACAGCTAAACAGAAAACAGGCTGGTTAAGTGTGTTTGGGCCAGTTTATTTCTAGTATCATTTACAGGCTACCCTGATACTGTATTTAAAATTTTCATTCATTTCAGAGTTCACAAAATAATGATTTTTCCTGTGAAGATACTTCGTTTAAGAGACAACTGACTTCTACAACTAAAAGTTATACATGTTCAAAGAAAATAACTTGTAAAATATAGTTCGTTGAATAACATTTACATTAAGCCTTTATAATTATGTATCAGAATTTCCGGCTATTAAGCAGTCTAATGTTGCCTACTAAGTCAGAGAGTTGTAATTCTCTCCTGTGCTCTGTTCTGATAATGAAGTAAAGGGATCAGTAGCATCTACTGTGCTAAAGAATAAATGGAATTTACAACTGTAGGTAATATTTAAGCACTTTAAGACTAATATGAGTACATCATAAATTTCTAACTAGGAAAATATTTTCAATGAGATCTCAACAAATGTTAACTTTTTTCAGAATAAAGCACTGAAAACTGACTCACCAACATATCAAACTGGGTTTCTTCATCTTCTTCTCTTTTTCTCTTCTTCTCTTTGCTCTTTTTCTTCTTACTACAGGACATAATTTATACAGATGAGTTTAGATATATTGACTTGTGTGATAAATAAATATTGTAAGATTGAAACTTGGAAGTCTTTTAAGCTGTTACATTTATAAATTATTGATTTAGGAAGACTTACATTGCTATGCCCTCTTAAATACAGTACTGAGAAGTTGCTTCAGGCTTTGTACATATTATGTTAAAGTTCAAAGCAGATTGTAGAGCCACACTGCCAGATTTTATATCCCGATTCTGTCACTTCTTAGCTCTGTGATTTTTGGAAAAGGTACTGAATCTCTCTGTGAGTCAGTTTCCCACTTAAAAAATTAGGATAGCAACTTAATTCTTAAGGCTATTGTGAGGATTAAGAGGTAATATGTATCTTCACACATTGCTGGTAGAAATGTAAAATGGTGCAGCATCTACAGGAAACAGTTTAGGGTTCCTCAAAAAGTTAAAGAGTTACCATATGACCCAGCAATTTTACTCCTAAGTATGTATTCCCAAGGGAAATGAAAACATACACCCACAAAAATACTTACATAAGAATATTCACACTAGCATTAGTCACAATAGTCAAAAAGGGGAAACAACCTAAATGTTCATCAACTGATGAATGGATGAACAAAATGTTACATCCATACAATGGAATACTACGCAGTCATAAAAAGGAACAAGTGCTACAACAATGATGGACCTCAAGAATGTTATAAGTGAAAGAAGCCAGATACAAAAGGCCACATGTTGCATGATTTCTTAGGAAATATTCAGAATAGGCAATTTCACATAGATAGCAGACTAGTGGTTGCCAAGGACTAGGAGAGGGGGAGGATGGGATGTGACTGCTTTAATGGGTAGGAAGAGATTCTTCTGAGATGATGAAAATGCTGAGCAACTAGACAGTGGTGAACCTCTTGAATATATACTAAAAACCACTGACTGTACAGAATGGTGAATTTTATAATTATGAATTACATCGCAATAAAAAAATAAAAACCCAAGAGCGATTTGAAAAAAGTTAATGTGCAAAGTGCCTACAACAATTTCTTGGCGTATTGAAAGTGCTATATGAGCATTAATTATGATTATTACGATAATCTTAAGACACTCTTGTATGCATTTTCATCATAAAGTTTTCAGAAGATAACTCACCACTCCTCACAGGAAATTCACAGAGTAAAAATCTCACATTCATTCAGGATATACCTGCCGTTTATTCTGGCATCTTCATGAGGCCAGACTCCTCGAGAGGGTTCTCAAGGGCAGTGGCTTCAGCTCACTCCTTGATACTTTCTTTCCATCTCGCCTAACAATATCAAAACCTTTGTTTATCACGGAGACCAGGAGGAAATGCTCAATATTTGCATGTACAGTCAACCTCAGGCAAATATGCCAGTTAAAAAAGAAACGGGGATATGAATGCACAGGTATTTTTCTCCTAAAGAGCTAATAAATTACCACTACGACCTCCTCACATTTGGCTCAATTTATTTACTGCATATATGTTCTCTCATTTAATCCTCACAGTCTTCTAAAGGTATAAAAAATGGTCTGAAAGTATAAATGTATAAACGGAGGTTCAAAGATATTTGATCTCTTAATGAGTAAATGGAAGTTCAGACATATTAACCAATTTCCTGGTTTCACTCTACATATTAGCTTAGAAAAAATTAATCAATAATTTTTCCAGGAAGAGACAATGGAGAAAAGAATAATCCCTAATAAAGGAAGTTATTATCATGAACTACAAGATTAGACTAACGGAGACCCACCAGGCAGAGGCCTGCAGAGATGCCTCAGAGGACTGAAACTCGTGGGTACGGGGCCACGGGTCACCCGCCCGTCTATCCTGTTTCCAGGGTCGTCAGTGCGGGAGGCTGCCCCTCTCTGCACAGGCGCCAGGAACTGCGGTCCGGCCTCCGTCCAGCCCGGACAGGGGCCAGGGCGAAGCCTGGGAGGCCACAAAGCCGGCTCTCCGCGCCACGGCTTCCACCGGATTCGAGGGGGGTGGAGTGCGTCCGAAAAGAACTGAGGAGGCTCCCGCCGGAGGTGCAGGACCCACCTCTTCGTCTTGGTTCCCTTGAGCACAAGCTTGGTAGACTTCGCATAAGAGTACTCGGCCATGGCTCCGGGACACTTCTGCGCGGAGAGGCTGAAGCCGGCTCAGGACGAGTATGTGACCCGGAGCAGCACCAGGGCGGGGAGGAACAGAAGTGGAGGCAAAGTAAACACTCCCTGACAGCGTACGTCTGTCCAGAACCCGCCTCCGTCTTCACCCAAACGCTGAATGGCTGAGATTTCCACTTCCGGTTTTCTGCCCCGGGGGGGTGGGAGCTATGGCAGCCACAGAGGGCCGAAAGGTGTCCACACACAGCTGTTCCCTGGCGTCCTCTTGAGGAGCACTTGAGGATTCGTGCCTCCCAGAGGTGGGGAAAGCCCGCCCGAGGCGCCGGTGCTGACGGTGGCGGGGCTGCCGGGCGCGCTGTGGAACCGCCTCCCGCTAGAGCTGCGGGCTGGCGACGGTCTCCGCGGGGGCGGGAAGCGGCTCAGGCTTCCCTCGTCGGCCTGCGGCGGCGCGTCTGGAAGCGCGGGCCACTCGTGCGCGGGTCACTCGGGGCTGTGCCTCGCGCGACTGTGTGTGCAGGAAACAAGCAGGGAATACCCTGAAATAGAATGAAGCGCCATGTTGAGGGCCGCAGACGTCGCGAGTGCTGTGGGAATGTGGGCTGAGGTGGAGAGTTACAGGCGCGTGTTACAGGCTCAGGGCTCAGGAAGAAGCCTAATCGTGGAGGCGGCATCTGAGGAGGGTCTTGAAGGCTGGGCAGGCTTTTGCCCGATAGAGATGGAGGAAGCTAGCCCTGTCTGATGGAGGAAACAGGGCAGAGGCGTGGAGGGAGCCGTGCAGCGCTGGTGTGAGGAGCCGCGAGCAGGCCAGGCCTGTAAAGCAGAGTGATGGGAACCAGGATAGAGAAGGCAAGTCGGGGTCCTGTGGTCGCTGAAGAATTTGAATGAAATCAGTAAACAGGTGAGAGGGATCCATCGCAAGAGCATGGGATGCAACGAGGAGTAGTCCACGGTGATTCCTCTGCAGCGGTGGGTATTATTAATCGCGTATGTGACACCAAAACGATGGGTATTATTGATAGCATATGTGACACCAAAACCACCCCACTCAAGCTGTGGCTCTTTCCCTAAAGTAGAAAACAGACCAGTTGGGTTCCAAGCATCCACGAAGATCTTATTAAATTTGTGATCCCTGGTGGCACCATGGAGTCAGGATTGGCTCACCTCAAACCTGACTCAGAAACAAAACCATGTCAATGTGCAGAGATGAACGTCCTTACCCGTTATCATATTTTCTGGTGTTTTCACAGTGCTGCACTTCCTAATCCCCATTCCACCGCAGTCCACATGCCATGATGCCCAGAGGCATTAACAAAGGAGACACACAGGGGCTTCTCACGTTGGGTTTTCATTGTTTTGATGAAAATCTCAGTTTCCTCATCTCATACAATGTGGTTAGTAATAGTATCATTTAGGGTTGAAGAATTAAATGGTACGAATTATATAGGGTGCTTATTATAACCTACATGGAAAATGCCTGGGATATGTTAGCTATGCTCATCACCAACATCGTTATATGATGGTAATAATCAGATAGTCAGGAAGGCCGACACAAAGAAAATGGATACATGCTCTGAGGGAATGAATGTGGAGAGATCAGAAGGTCAAGAACAAAGCCCTACAACATGTCTGCAGTAAAGGGATAGAGAAAAGAAAGGCTATAAAAGAAGGAATGAAACAGAGTTAGAGTAAAATTATAAAATCAAAGCTAAGGAGAATTTCCAGAAAGGGTAATATCATTTAATATCATAGAAGTTTAGGAGCACAAGATGGGAAAAAGGCCTTTGGGTAACTGACACTGAGGCAGTCTTTAGGGAAGCTCCATTTCCGATAGAGGAGTAGACAGAAAGTCAGCTTGAAGCAGGGACTAGGTGAAGAAGCTGTTGGCTGGTCGCATGGGGAAATAAATAAGGGATGGCATATGCCATTTTTCTGGATTTCTTTCTTTCTTGCCCAGCCTCTATATATGCACAGAGTTTTGCGAAAACTTACAAAAAATAAAAATGAAACCAATTTCGTTTGCAGACTCAAATACAATGCTTTGTGTTAGAATCAAGATAAATTCATGCCTCTCCCTTCTATTGTCACCGTCAGTTTTGAAATTAAACATCAGCTTTTCTTCTTCATGAAAATCATTTTCAACTCCTTCCAGGTGTTGGTGGTTTGGGGGAGTTACATAAGCAGTCAGGTCTTGATGAGTAGAGGAGGGAACAAACACTTTCAGCAAAGGCAGAATTCTGAAATTCTGCTCGTATTTTTCTTCAGTAACTTTCCTATGTTTGTGAGGTTATTCAGTCATAAAGATCCTAGTGAAATTTTTTTCAAGCTTTACTAGTCGTAATCACTGTGGACGTTTGTTTAAAATGTGTATTCCCAGGCCTCTCACCTGCTGATTCTGATTCCGGAGATCACGGATGGGACTCAGAATACATATGTTTGACAAGCATCACAAGTGGTTCTTATGGTCAGACAAATTTTGGAATCTAACCAGGAATTTATGTTTTTATGACTGGCAGCTAGAAAAGATTCCTAGAGTCTTTGCTTTTTGAAAATAAAATATTTCTGTTTTAAAAGGAAATTGTATGACTAGATACAACATTTATACATGTGGCACATGTATTATACTGTGTGTTTTTGTCATATTTGCAGTCAAAGATGTGTAAGAACACTCTGAGAAAAATTATATATTAAATGCAAAGAGGGGTAAGTTAGGGTGGGGGAGTAATGGGAAGGGTGTGCTTATTGTTGCTAAAAGGTAGAAAAGCCAGAATTATAGCATCTAAGGTTGCAAATAGCACATTGTAAGTTGAGGGAGCTTCATAATCATGTCTGAAAACTTCTTTGATATACTGAGTTGTAAACAGTGGCTTTGGACAATATTTGACGGAGAAACCAACTATGCTTTAAACCGTTCATTTAAAAGGCTTTAATTAAAGGAAAGTCTTTGTATTTACCTGAGCTAATTTAACTTCAGGATTTTAACAAATTACTAGCCCTTAACCTCTTAAAAATTGTCTTTCATTTCAAATGAAAGTTTAAGGTGGCCTTTATGTTCGATTGGTATACTTGTGTGAACACTTAACGGCAAGGTACTGTACATTTCTAAATGTTTACTTCTTAATTTTGCTGGAAGAAATATACTACTCAATTGATTATTTTTAAAGCAAAGTAAAACAATTTATTTTGACAAGCGACACTGTATTTTCCCAGTTTTCTGGTGGTAAAGATTAGGCTTAACATCACTAATCATCAGAGAAATGCAAATCAAAACCAAAATGAGATACCATCCTATACCAGTCAGAATAGCTACTATTAAAAAAATCGAAAAACAACAGATCTTGGGAGGCTGTGGAGAAAAGGGAACATTTACACATAATTGGTGTGAATGTAAATTAGTTCAGCCACTGTTGAAAGCAGTTTGGAAATTTCTCAGAGAATTTAAAATAGAATTACCTTTCAAGCCAACAATTCCATTACTGGTATATGACCCAAAGAAAATCAGTTATTCTACCAAAAAGACATATGCACTTGCATGTTCATCGCAGCACTATTCACAATAGCAAAGACATGGAGTCAGCCTAGGTGCCCATCAACAATGGATTGGATCAATAAAATGTGGTACATCCACACAGTATTATTAGGCCATTCTTACATTGCTATGAAGAAATACCTGAGACTGGGTAAATTATAAGGAAAAGAGATTTAATTGGCTCATAGCTCTGCAGTCTGTACAGGAAGCATGGTGACGGCATCTGCATGGCGTCTGTGGAGTCTCCAGGGAGCTTTTACTCATGATGGAAGGTGAAGAGAGAGTAGGCACATCACATGGCCAGAGCAGGAGCAAGAGAGAATGGGAGTGGGGTTAAGTACCACACACCCTTAAACAACCAGATCTTGAAAGAATTCACTATCACAAGGACAGCATCAGGGCATTAGAGATCCACCCCCGTGACCCAAACACCTCCTACCAGGCGCCACCTCCAACACTGAGGATTACATTTCACCATGAGATTTATAGGGGCCACCTTCCAAACCATTTCACACACCATGGAATACTATGCAGCCATAAAAATAACAAACTTATGTCCTTTGAAGCAACATGGATGCAGCTGAAGGCCATTATCCTAAGTAAATTAATGCAGGAATACAAAACGAAATACCACATTATCTCACTTATAAGTGGGAGCTAAACACTGGGTATTCATGGACATAAAGATGGAAAGAATAAACACCGGGACTACTAGAGGGGAGAAGGAGGAAGGCAAGGTTTGACAAACTAACTATTGGGTACTATGCTCATGTATTAATCTGTTCTCACACTGCTATATAGAACTACCCAAGACTGGGTAATTTATAAAGAAAAGAGGTTTAACTGACTCACAGTTCCACAGGCTGTACAGGAAGCATGGCTGGGAGGCTTCAGGAAACTTACAATCATGGCAGAAGGTGAAGGGGGAAGCAAGGCACATTCTACCATGGTGACAGGAGAGCAAGTGAGCCAGGGGGGATGTGCCATATGTTTAAACCATCAGATCTCATGAGAACTCACTTACCATCTAAGAAGAGCAAGGGGGAAATCTGCCCTCTTGAGCTAATCACCTCCCACCAGGTCATTCCCCCTACATTGGGAATTACAATTCAACATGAGATTTGGGTGGGGACACAGAGTCAAACCATACCAAATCAGCATCTGGATGATTGGGATCATTCATACCCCAAAACTCAGCATTATGAGATATACCCATGTAACAAACTGGCACATGTACCCCTGAATGTAAAATACAAGTTAAAATTATTTTCAAAATAATTAATGAATAAATAAATATGATTAAATGAAATTAAAATTTTGAATTAAAAAAATTTTAGAGTGATAGTGATTTCAGCTTGCAGTTATGTAAGTTATGTAAATGGAAACAGTGAGTTATGTAGGGTTCGGATCAATTGCACTCTCTGTACTAAGCTGATGTCCAGTTGTTTGGATGAAAAGAAAAGAGGAGAAACATATAGATCTAACAGGAAAAAAATGGACAAGTTTTTATGATAAAAAAAGAAGAATGGAGGAAATAGGACTGAGGTTATAGGGATTGATAGATATTAATAGATGACTAAGTCAAAAGCCACTGGTTGCAGAAAATATTGATTAATTTTGTTTTATTCCAGTCAGACAACAAAATTCTATAACTGCCTCTAGAGAAAACCCTTTTAGCCCTGTAATTATCTTTATTCCAAGCACCATTCCATTCATTAAGTAGTGTATAGAGTGATTAATAAGTGAATTATTCACAGAATTAAGACAGAATTTTTGAGTATTTCAGGATATTAATATTATAGTCAATGAACTAAAATAAAATTTGACTAGAGGTGTGATCACCATGAATGCCATGTTGGTATCTTGTTAGATTTGGCAAACTAAAGTTGACAAATTTATTAATAAAATAAACATTCCTTAATGATTAATTTACATTTAGTACACATGCTCTTTCTTCTTCCTTCCCTTTCTTATTCATTCATTCCTACAGAGCAGTGACTTTCATTCTAAGATTCCCAGAATCCTAAGGAATTCTTGAATGTCATCATAGGGAGCCAGGTGTGAGGATTCCCAAAAGTTGTATTTAATACTTGAAAAATCTCGAGAAGTTATATATTTATGCCAGAAAAACTATACAGGTTTTAAGTTATATATATATAGTTGAATACTTTTTATTTCTATCCAGAACGAAGTCATTAGAGTTAATAATGTTGATTATTTCATACTGACCTAATGGGTAGCCTTTATATATCATTGATTACTTATTAGTATAATAAGAACCCCCCCAAAATTACAAAATAAATATATTTTGTGGGTTTTTGTTAAGGCTTTTGAAACATAAAATCAGAGGAGAGGATTAAAAGTAATCCTTGATTGTTAAAAAGGCAGGGAACTACTAACTTAGAAAATTGTATGAAAACAGCAAGATATATACATGACTCTCAGACCAGCTGCCTGTTTTAATAAAGTTTTATTGGAGCACATCCATGGATCTATGGTGCTTTCCTGATACAATGGTACAGTTGAATGGTTGCTATAGAGACCGTATGGTTTGCAAAGCCTAAAATATTTATCATCTGGTCCTTTATAGCAAAAGTGAACCCAGTTTTAGATCATTCACTTTATGAATTAAGATACAGTGGATGCTGCCTTAACTGACCTCCACTTAACTGATTTGCAATCAGCACTTTCTGGTACCCCTGTACAACTTACTGACTGATGTCCACTGCAAACTGAAAGCCTTTGAGCTGCTTTTAATGCCTGTACATTTCTCCTTCCATCACAGAAATTGTATAGTTTCTAAGAGGAAGCTGTGTTCATTCCTAAATATGTTTACACCATTTGTTCTTGTTCTTGTAGTTATGCGATTTAATTAAATATTATGTTGAGAGGCTGAGACGGGCGGATCACTAGGTCAGGAAATCGAGACCATCCTGGCTAACTCGGTGAAATCTCGTCTCTACTGAAAATACAAAAAAATTAGCTGTGCGTGGTGGCGGGTGCCTGTACTCCCAGCTACTGAGGAGGCTGAGGCAGGAGAATGGCATGAACCCGGGAGGCGGAGCTTGCAGTGAGCAGAGATCACACCACTGCACTCCAGCCTGGGTGACAGTGCGAGACTCTGTCTCAAAATAAATAAATAAATAAATAAATAAATAAATAAATATTATGTAAACTGAGAAAATGAGTATAACAAGATTAGTATTGTTGTTTCTTTGAGAAATAAACTAAATGTGTTGGAAAAATGAGAAACTCAAACAGTTGCTGTCACCTTAACTGTTGGCAAGACAACTAGAAACAAATGGGAAAAATTGTGTAATCTAGGATTTCAGATTGCTTTACCCCAGTTGTCTTCACAGAAAGTAAACAAGAAATCCATGACAACATATCATTGGCATAGTTTCCACAAGAAACTTCACTCTGAATCCGTGCAAGGCTTTGACCTTGTCATCAAAATTCTGGCAAATTTATTTGCACAAGTCTTTTAAATTAAAGTTAAGTTTTAAGGACTTACATCGAATACTTCTTATGATTCCTCCATCTAACTTAAATTTGTGATTAATCTGTTTATTACTGGTCCCAATCTGATTGAATAAGGGGATTTCTACGGTTTTTGCTAACCAAAAGTTTACTTTGATGAAGATGGAATTATAAATACAATAATTCAAGTTTAAAGAATTAGAATGGTAAAGGTTAATACAATTTAGAAGCCTAAAAATCACTTGAAAACCTTACTAACAATGTAAATTCTTGTGCCTTAGGCCTGAGATTTTGATTCAATAGGTCTATCATGGGACATAGGAATCTGTATTTTTAGGAATGATAAAGGAAAATTGCTTAAAATTGGGTAAATTATGACTTGCAAATATAAAATGAACACTTGTCTAAGATTTTTGTTTAACTCATTTATTTAATGAGGGAGCCAGTAAGATGTTATACTGAGTTTTATGGAAAATTAAGTGCCACACATATCTAGGCACTAAGGAACACTGAAATAAATTTGCTTGATAGGTTCAAAACTGACTTCTTGATGGAAGGTGGAAAAAGGGAAATTAATTATACTTCCACCAAAATCAATCATTTGCCTGTCTATAGATAAGAATATTTGCATTACTATCAGTAATCTACAACTAACAGAATTGCAAATAACAAAGAAAACAAAAGGCACAGAGACCCCATAGAAACAGATAACCCAGGTTATTCTAGACAAGGCTGAGATTTCCATTAAAGACACTCAGTGGTAATTTCATTGGTCCATCTTAAAATCTTTCCGTTTTCTCCTGAAACAAATTGCTCAAGCAATTAAAATACATTGAATGTGGTCAGTGGGTCACACCTGGAGAAATCATTTTCTAACCTATAATCAAGACTGTTGAATTACTCCCTTCACTGGAAAGAATAAGATATTACCACATAAATTCATATTATGATAATGGCCCACTATGAATGCTTTGGTGTTCTTAATTTTCTTAAGATTTATTAATATTTCTGAAGTAACTATTAAATGCCAAGCAATGTATTTTCTAATTTAATATTTCATTGACTTTTACTTTCACTTCAGTTGAGCTACTCACTTTCATGGCTATAAACTTAACTTTTCAATAACTTAAAAATTGATTTCTATTGTTATAAACTTTAATGTTCCACTCTGTGACCTGCTCTTTCAGACTCTCTCTTCCTTACTGCCGATTTACCTTCTCTTCTATCTCTTCCAGTGCCCCAGTATCTTGACTCTTCCATTTTCTTTTTTCTTTTCTTTTATTAAGTGGATACATGGTAATTTCACATGTTGATGGGGTACAATGTGGTATTTTGATACATGACACATTGTTAAAACCTCTCCTCCCTATCTTTCCCAGTCTGGCAACCACTCTTCTACTCTCTATTAGATCAGTGTTTTTACATTTCACATATGAATGAGATCATGTGATATTTGTCTTACCGTGTTTAGATTATTTCACTTGCCACAATGTCCTCTATGATCATTCATGTTGTCACAAGTGACACGATTTTACCCTTTTTTATGGCCACATGTGCATATGATATAGTTTGGATATTTTCCCTGACCCATATCTTATGTTATATTGTAATCCCCACTGTTAGAGATGGGGCCTGGTAGGGGGTGTTTGGGTCGTGGAGGTGGATCCCTCATGGCTTGGTGCTATCCTCATGATGTTGAACGAGTTCTCAAGCTTCCTGACTAGTCAAGCAGATGTTGGCACTATACTCCCTGTACAGCCCATGGAACCAGGAGCCAATTAAGTCTCTTTTCTTATAAATTATCCAATCTCAGATATTTCTTTATAGGAATGCAAGAATGGCCAAATACAACATATATACCACATTTTCTTTATCCATTCTTTCATTGATGGACACTTAGGTTGATTCTAGGCTATTGTGAATAATGCTGTAATAAACATGAGAGTCCAGAAATCTCTTTGACATACTGATTTAATATTCTTTGAATATATACCCAGTAGTGGGATTGCTGGATTATGTGATAAGTCTATTTTTAATGTTTTTGGAAGTTATATTGTTTTCCATAAAAATTGCTCTAATTTACATTTCCACCAACAGTATATGAACATTCCCCTTTCTTCACGTCCTTGCCAGCATTTGTTATTTTTTGACTTTTTCATAAAAAAGCATTCTAAGCAGGGTGAGATAGCATCTTACTGTGGATTTGACTTGCATTTCTCTGATTATTAGTGGTGGTGAGCATTTTTTCACCTGTTAGTGATTTTTTTATCTAATTTGGAGAAATGTCTATTCAGCTCTCTTGACTATTTTCTAATCCAATTATTTGTATTTTTGCTGTTGAGTTGTTTGAGTTTTCTATAAATTTGGGATATTAACCCCTTATGAAGTGAATAGTTTGCAGATATTTTCTCCCATTTTATAGGTTGTCTCTTCACTCTTGTGATTGTTTCCTATGCAGTGCAGAAGTTTTTATTTGGTGTAATCCCATTTCTTTATTTTTGCTTTTGTTGTGCATGTCTTTTGATGTCTTTTCTAAAAAGTCCTTGCCCAGACCAATGACATATAACATTTCACCTGTTTTCTTCTACTAGTTTCATAGTTTGGTGTCTTAAATTTAAATATTTAATTTATTTTGAGTTGATTGTTGTGTATGATGAGAGATAGTGGTCTACTTTCATTCTTCTATATGTGGATATGCACTTTTCCCAGCACCATTTGTTGAAAATACTGTCTTTTCCCCATTGAATGTTTGCAACTTTGTCAAAAATAAGTTGCATGTAAATATGTGGATTTATGCCTGGGCCCCCTATTTTTGTTCCACTGGTCTACATGCCTGTTTTTATGCCAATACCATGCTGTTTTAGTTAGGATAGCTTTGTAATATATTTTGAAATTAGATAGTGTAAATCCTCTAGCATTGCTCTTTTTGATTAAGATTTATTTGGCTATTTGGGGTGTTTTGTAGTTTCACATGGATTTTAAGATTTTTTTAATATCCGTGAAGAATGAAATTGGAAATTTGATAGATATTATATTGGATTTATAGATTGATTTGAGTAGTATGGTCATTTCAGCAATATTAATTCTTCTAGTCTGTGAACATGGGATATCTTTCTATTTATTTTAATTTTTAATTGCTTTTATCAATGTTTAATAATTTTCATCTTTCCATGGCTTAATTTATTTTTAGGTATTTTGTTTTTTTAATAGCTATTTTAAATGGGATTACTTTCTTGATTCCTTTTTCAGATAGTCTGCTATTGGTGTATAGAGATGTTATTGATTTTTTATGTTGCTTTTTTATCCTGAAAGCTTATTGTGTTCATTTACTATTTATGATTCTCAGTGGTGTATTTACGGTTTTTTACATATATGATCATGTCATCTGCAAAGAGGGATAATTTGACTTTTTTTTTCCACTTGGATGCCTTTTATTTCTTTCTCTTACCTAATTGTTCGGACTAGGACTTCCATTACTATGTTGAAAAAAGTGATTAAAGTGAACATCCTCGTCTTCTTCCAGATCCTAGAGGCAAAACTTTCAAGTTTTCACCATTCAGAATAATGTTGCCTGTGGGTTATCACATATGGTCTTTATTTTATTGTGTTCTTTTATAACTAATTTGTTAAAAGGTTTGATCATAAAAGATGTCTAATTTTGTCAAAGGCTTTTTCTGCATCTATTGAAATGATTATTTTTTATCCTTCATTGTTTAATGTGATGTATCACATTTTATTGATTTACATGTATTAGACTATCCTTACCTCCCTGGGTAAATACCATTTGATTATGGTGAATAATCTTTATAATGTGCTTTTGAATTATCATTGCTATAACTGCTGGTTTTGAATGTTTGCATCTATGTTTATCAATGATATTGGCCTGGAGTTTTCTTTTATTTGCTGTTCTTGTCTCATTTTGGAATTAGGAAATGCTGTCTTCATAGAATGAGTTTGGAAGAGTTCCCTCCTTTTCATTTTTTTGAAATAGTTTGTAAAAAATTTGTATAAGTTCTTTAAATGTTTTGTAGAATTTGTCAGCGAAAACCACCAAGTCATGAACTTTTCTTTCTTCCTCTATTTTTTTAGAGACAGGGTCTCACTCTATCACTGAAGCTGGCATACAGTGGTGCAGTCATAGCTGACTGCAGCCTCAAACTCCTGGTCTTAAGTGATCCTCCTGCCTCAGCCTCCTGAGTACAAATACACACCACTATACTTGGATAATTTTTATTTTTATTTTTAGAGATGGAGTCTCATTGTGTTGCCCAGGCTAATCTTGAACTCCTGGCCTCTGGTGATTCTCCTGCCTTGGGCTCCTAAACTGTGAGATTACAGGTGTGAGCTACTGTGTGAAGTCTTTTGGATTTTCCTTGACTGAGAGCCTAAATCGCTCCTTCAATCTCATTAGTTGTCATTGGTGTGTTCACATTTTCTATTTCTTCTTTCTTCAATTTTGATAGGTTATATGTGTCCAGAGCGTACGTATTTCTTCTAAGTTTTTCAATTTATTGGCATATAATTGTTTGTAGTACTTACTCATGGTTCCTTATATTTCTCTAGAGTCTATCATAGTATATCCTTTTTCATCTCTGATTATATGTGAATTTTCTCTTTTTTTCTTAGTCTGACAAAACATTTGTCGTTTACCTTTTCTTTTTTTTTTTTTATGGTGTCAATGATATTCTTTATTCTAACTTTTTTTTTTTTTTTTTTAATTATACTCTAAGTTTTAGGGTACATGTGCACATTGTGCAGGTTAGTTACATATGTATACATGTGCCATGCTGGTGCGCTGCACCCACTAATGTGTCATCTACCATTAGGTATATCTCCCAATGCTATCCCTCCCCCCTCCCCCGACCCCACCACAGTCCCCAGAGTGTGATATTCCCCTTCCTGTGTCCATGTGATCTCATTGTTCAATTCCCACCTATGAGTGAGAATATGCGGTGTTTGGTTTTTTGTTCTTGCGATAGTTTACTGAGAATGATGGTTTCCAATTTCATCCATGTCCCTACAAAGGATATGAACTCATCATTTTTTATGGCTGCATAGTATTCCATGGTGTATATGTGCCACATTTTCTTAATCCAGTCTATCATTGTTGGACATTTGGGTTGGTTCCAAGTCTCTGCTATTGTGAATAGTGCCGCAATAAACATACGTGTGCATGTGTCTTTATAGCAGCATGATTTATACTCATTTGGGTATATACCCAGTAATGGGATGGCTGGGTCAAATGGTATTTCTAGTTCTAGATCCCTGAGGAATCGCCACACTGACTTCCACAATGGTTGAACTAGTTTACAGTCCCACCAACAGTGTAAAAGTGTTCCTATTTCTCCGCATCCTCTCCAGCACCTGTTGTTTCCTGACTTTTTAATGATTGCCATTCTAACTGGTGTGAGATGATATCTCATAGTGGTTTTGATTTGCATTTCTCTGATGGCCAGTGATGATGAGCATTTCTTCATGTGTTTTTTGGCTGCATAAATGTCTTCTTTTGAGAAGTGTCTGTTCATGTCCTTCGCCCACTTTTTGATGGGGTTGTTTGTTTTTTTCTTGTAAATTTGTTTGAGTTCATTGTAGATTCTGGATATTAGCCCTTTGTCAGATGAGTAGGTTGCGAAAATTTTCTCCCATTTTGTAGGTTGCCTGTTCACTCTGATGGTAGTTTCTTTTGCTGTGCAGAAGCTCTTTAGTTTAATTAGATCCCATTTGTCAATTTTGTCTTTTGTTGCCATTGCTTTTGGTGTTTTGGACATGAAGTCCTTGCCCACGCCTATGTCCTGAGCAAACACATTCAAAAGCTAGCAGAAGGCAAGAAATAACTAAAATCAGAGCAGAACTGAAGGAAATAGAGACACAAAAAACCCTTCAAAAAATCAATGAATCCAGGAGCTGGTTTTTTGAAAGGATCAACAAAATTGATAGACCGCTAGCAAGACTAATAAAGAAAAAAAGAGAGAAGAATCAAATAGACACAATAAAAAATGATAAAGGGGATATCAGCACCGATCCCACAGAAATACAAACTACCATCAGAGAATACTACAAACACCTCTACGCAAATAAACTAGAAAATCTAGAAGAAATGGTTACATTCCTCGACACATACACTCTCCCAAGACTAAACCAGGAAGAAGTTGAATCTCTGAATAGACCAATAACAGGCTCTGAAATTGTGGCAATAATCAATAGCTTACCAACCAAAAAGAGTCCAGGACCAGATGGATTCACAGCCGAATTCTACCAGAGGTACAAGGAGGAACTGGTACCATTCCTTCTGAAACTATTCCAATCAATAGAAAAAGAGGGAATCCTCCCTAACTCATTTTATGAGGCCAGCATCATTCTGATACCAAAGCCGGGCAGAGACACAACCAAAAAAGAGAATTTTAGACCAATATCCTTGATGAACATTGATGCAAAAATCCTCAATAAAATACTGGCAAACCGAATCCAGCAGCACATCAAAAAGCTTATCCACCATGATCAAGTGGGCTTCATCCCTGGGATGCAAGGCTGGTTCAATATACGCAAATCAATAAATGTAATCCAGCATATAAACAGAGCCAAAGACAAAAACCACATGATTATCTCAATAGATGCAGAAAAAGCCTTTGACAAAATTCAACAACCCTTCATGCTAAAAACTCTCAATAAATTAGGTATTGATGGGACGTATTTCAAAATAATAAGAGCTATCTATGACAAACCCACAGCCAATATCATACTGAATGGGCAAAAACTGGAAGCATTCCCTTTGAAAACTGGCACAAGACAGGGATGCCCTCTCTCACCGCTCCTATTCAACATAGTGTTGGAAGTTCTGGCCAGGGCAATCAGGCAGGAGAAGGAAATAAAGGGTATTCAATTAGGAAAAGAGGAAGTCAAATTGTCCCTGTTTGCAGACGACATGATTGTTTATCTAGAAAACCCCATCGTCTCAGCCGAAAATCTCCTTAAGCTGATAAGCAACTTCAGCAAAGTCTCAGGATACAAAATCAATGTACAAAAATCACAAGCATTCTTATACACCAACAACAGACAAACAGAGAGCCAAATCATGGGTGAACTCCCATTCACAATTGCTTCAAAGAGAATAAAATACCTAGGAATCCAACTTACAAGGGATGTGAAGGACCTCTTCAAGGAGAACTACAAACCACTGCTCAAGGAAATAAAAGAGGACACAAACAAATGGAAGAACATTCCATGCTCATGGGTAGGAAGAATCAATATCGTGAAAATGGCCATACTGCCCAAGGTAATTTACAGATTCAATGCCATCCCCATCAAGCTACCAATGACTTTCTTCACAGAATTGGAAAAAACTACTTTAAAGTTCATATGGAACCAAAAAAGAGCCCGCATTGCCAAGTCAATCCTAAGCCAAAAGAACAAAGCTGGAGGCATCACACTACCTGACTTCAAACTATACTACAAGGCTACAGTAACCAAAACAGCATGGTACTGGTACCAAAACAGAGATATAGATCAATGGAACAGAACAGAGCCCTCAGAAATAATGCCACATATCTACAACTATCTGATCTTTGGCAAACCTGAGAAAAACAAGCAATGGGGAAAGGATTCCCTATTTAATAAATGGTGCTGGGAAAACTGGCTAGCCATATGTAGAAAGCTGAAACTGGATCCCTTCCTTACACCTTATACAAAAATCAATTCAAGATGGATTAAAGATTTAAACGTTAAACCTAAAACCATAAAAACCCTAGAAGAAAACCTAGGCATTACCTTTTCAAAAAAGATTCCTTCATTTAATTAGTCGTTTGTATTTTTTATCTTCATTTTGTATATTTGTGCTCTGATCTTTATATTCTTTCGCTAATTTGGGTCTTAGTTTGTTCTTGATTTTATACTTCCTTGAAATACATTGTTAGATGATTTATTCATTAACTTTCTTCCTTATTGATGTAGAAATGCATTGCTATAAACTTTCCTCTAAGGACTGTTTTGCTGTATTTCATAAGTTTTCATATGTTCTGATTTCATTTTTATTTGTCTTAAGACATTTTTAAAATTAAATTTTTTTTCATTGACCCATTGGTTGTTTAAGGATATGTTGTTTAATTTGTATGTATTTGCACAATTTCTGAATTTCCTCCTGTTGTTTATTTCTAGCTTTATTCCATGTGGTTTAAAAAACACGATATGATTTGATTTTTTGATTAGCTAAGACTTGTTTTGTGGTCTAACATATCTATCATGGACAATAGTCCATATGCAGGTGAAAAGACAGTGAATTATGCAATTGTTGGATGAAATGTTATGTAAATAACTGTTAAATTCTTTTGATCTAGAGTGCAGTTTAAATGTTTCTTTGTTGACATTCTCAATGATCTGTTCATTGCTGAAAATGGGATGTCGAGGTTTCTTACTATTATTGTACAGTTTTTTTGTCTCTCCTTTTAGATCTATTAATGTTTGCTTTATATATTTAGGTTCTCCAAAGTTGAGTGCATTATATATTTACAATTATTGTATTCTCTTGTTGTACTGACCCTTTTATTATTACATAATGGCCTTGTTTGTCTGTGTTTACAGTTTTTTTACTTGAGGTCTATTTTATTTGATATAAATATAACTACTTCTGCATTCTTTTGATTTCCATTGTCATAAAATATATTTTTCCATCTGATCACTTTCAATTTATGAGTGTATTTACAGGTGATGGGAGTCTGTTGTAAAAAGAATATAGTTAGGTCTTGTTTTTAATCCATTTACCCATTCTCTGTCTTCTTACTGGATAATTTAATCTATTTACATTCAAGGTAATTATTGATAGATAAGGACTTGTACTGCCATATACTGTTTTCTTGTTGTCTTTTAGAATTTTTGTACCTTTTTTTCCCTTTGTTGTCTTCCTTTGTAGTTAAGTGATTTTCTCTGTGTGTTTTTGTTTCTTGTTCTTTTATTTTTAGTGTATCTAATAAAAATGTTTGCCTTTTGGTTACTATGAGGCATGCGAAGAATATTTTATAGTATCAATAGGTAATTTTGAATGGATAACAGCTTAATTTTGATAATAAGAAATGGGGAAAAGCAATCACCCTGCTCTTTAACTCAATCACTCCCCCATATTTTGCATTTTTGATGTCTTAATTTACATCTTTTACATCACTTATCCCTTAACAAATTATTGTAGTTGTTATTATTTTTGTTTTGTATTTTAACCTTCGTGCTAAAAACATGTAAGTGGCTTACATTCACTCTTTACTATATTAGAGCATCCAGAATTTGTCTGAATATTTATTTTTACCTGTGGATTTATACCTTCCAATTTTTTGTATTACATATTAGTGCCCTTTTCTTTCAGTTTGAAGACTGTTCTTTAACATTTATTTTAAGGCAGGTATGGTTACAATGAATTCCTTCATCTTTTGTTTGTCTTAGAATGTTTTAACCTCTCCTTCATTTCTAAATGAGAGCTGTGCTGGATACTGTATTCATGGTTGACAATTTTTTTCTTCAGCACTTGATTCTATTATCCTACTCTCTCCTGGTCCATATTGTTTCTGCTGAGAAGTCTGCTGCCAGGCACATTGGAATTCTCTTGTGTGTTATATGCTTCCTTTTTCTTAGTGCTTTCAGGACCTACTTCTTTTTTTTGACGTTTGAAGATTTAATTATAATAGATCTTGTGGTTGTCTTATTCAGATTAAATCAGATTAGTGAGCTTTGGCCATCCTAAACATCTTAATCCTTCTCCAAGTTTAAAAAGTTGTCTGTTATTTCTCTGAATAAGCTTCTAACTTTTTTTCATTCTTAGTTGAACTTTAACATTGTAGATTTGTTTTTTTGATGGTGTCCCATGGATCTCATAAGTTTTCTTTGTTTCTTCTCATTTTTTTCTCTTTTCTAGTCTGACAGTGTATTTTCAAAGAGACTGTCTTTGAGCTCACTGCTTTTTTTCTTCTACTAGATCAGTTCTGCTCTTGATGCCCTGTAGCGCATTTTTCAGTTTGTTTACTGAACTTTCCTCCTCCAGGATTTCCATTTGATTTTTTTCCATTATTTTAAATTCTTTGTTGAATTTCTCCTAAATTTCCATATTGTTTCTCTGTACTTTGTTGAAATGCACAGATTTTTCTTTTTTAAAAAAAACAGCTATTTGAATTTTTTTGTCTGCCACATGATTCATTTGCATGTCTTTAGGTTCAGTTGCTGACACCTTGTTTTCTCCATTTGGTGAGGCAGTTTTTCCTAGGCTATTCTTATTTTTTGAAGATGTACATCTCCATCTACATATTGATGAATTAAATATTTATTTCAATCTTCTCAGTCTGGGATTGTTTTTGACTGTTTCTCAGTGGGCTTGTTTAGAAATTCTGTGTGGATTTACATTATATTCCATTTTAGCATTAGGAGGTGCCTAAAGCAAAGGTTAGACATAAGTCTTGCAATGGGGCTTCACCACTGATGCAATGTAACTGGATGGGCCCATGGGTGATCCACAGAAAGGCTGCTGTCTGTTGGGGGAGAACAAGTCAGGCCATCAAATCTGGACAGTCTGTGTATCCTGTATCCCACAGCGTGGTGCCCATAAACAACCTATCTGGTATAATGTTTCCTCTGGTAGGAATGGCTAGCCACTGCTAAGTTTCATATAGTAAGTATTGTTAACCCTATCCCTTCTCTATGTCCCTAGCATGCCTCTGATGGTTAAGCTCTGTTGACACTCATGGTGCTTCTTGTGGGCTGATGCAGGAGTGAGTCTACTGTGAAGGCACTCAGTATGGTGGAAAAAATATTCAACTTCTGCTCACTTTATTCAGTGTAAGAACTGTGAGTTCAAGAGGACTTTCTGCATATAATACCATTATGTCCTGGGGGAGGAGTATCATAGTCACAGGGTACTGTTTCCCTTACTGTCCAAGCATGGTTTTATTCCTCTTTGCAGTCCAAAGGGGCTTCATAGACTCACTCATGTATTCAGGGTTCATTAGCTCTTGTAAAGGTAATTTCATATGTGGATAGTTGTTCATATAGATGTGTCCGTAGGCATATGATTATTGGATAGGTCGACTCCACTACCTTGCTCTGCCCAAATCCTTCCTCTTTCCAACAAGAGTTTGCCACCTCCTATTTTTCTTTTTTCTTAACCAAACTAAGTTTAGCCTTTTAATCCTTCACCCCCCTCCACTTCTAATGCCATTGCTTCTTTGTATGTTTATTGTATTTTCCATGCTATATGACTTTCAGCTGGTTATTTACAGTATGTAAATTTTAATATCCTGTAAAAGAGGGATAGTAATAGCATCCATTTGATAGGGATGTTAAAGATATTAAATGACACTGTCCATGTTAAATAACTTTTTGAGATATATTGAGATGTTTCTGTACTTCCTTGTTCTGGCCCTCTTGTTGAACCAGAGGAATCTATTGCCATGAAAAGCAATAAAACTGTGATAGTAGAAATTAAAAGTGAGGAGGAACTTATTTAAAAATCATCATTCTCCTTTTCAATGCAAAAATAAGAACTAGAAACTTTTTTAAAAACATTTTTAAGTTAAATTTACTTTTTATTTATTTATTTATTATGCTTTAAGTTCTGGGGTACATGTGCAGAATGTGCAGTTTTGTTACATATGTATACACGTGCCACAGTGGTTTGCTGCAACCATCAACCCGTCATCCACATTAGGTACTTCTCCTAATGCTATACTTCCCATAGCCCCCCATCCCCTGACAATTCCCAGTGTGTGATGTTCCCCTCCCTGTGTAGGCAGTAGTCCAAAGTAATA
Source organism: Homo sapiens (assembly GCF_000001405.40). Classification (NCBI taxonomy): domain Eukaryota; kingdom Metazoa; phylum Chordata; class Mammalia; order Primates; family Hominidae; genus Homo; species Homo sapiens. The sequence goes on from NT_167213.1 coordinate 118,261, forward strand.
ACTTATGGAAGATAACTTGGGTTTTTTAATCTTAAAGTGTTCTTTTATATATTCAAGGGTCGAGATTGGCTGCCTTGAATTCTACTAAAATTTCAATGTAAGTTTTAGAGAGGGAGGAAAGAGTCAAAGAAAAAATTGCACTGGAAAAAGTTAAATAAATAAAGAAGATATTATTCAAGCTATTGCAATACGGGAGAGAGGCCAGACCTAGTCTGATCTCAGCTCCCCTGATACAAAGGGCCGTGGATTTTTTGAAAGTGAGGGTAAGGGGGCGATCATAGGCCACCTGTCTTTGCTAACTGTCTTTTCTCAAAGGAAAAATAAACTTTCTTTTATCTTTATGATATAAGGTAATTTTTACAACTTGGAGCAAGATTAGGCTCTTAGTCTCTCATGGATACTGGGAAATAAGGTATTATCTTTCTGGAGGACTACATTTGAAAGAGATGGCTCCCAGATCCTTGAAAAAGGAAATTTTCTGCTTACAAATTACACATGCCACTTCTACCTGCATTTCACTGGCCAAACAAGTCACATGTCTAAATCTGACCCTTCCTTCAATAGGACAGAAATGTATAATCTTCTAGGAGATAGGGCCACTGCAGTAGGAAGACCAGATAATGGGAGAATGGTAATATAATCTATCGCAATGACCACAGTGAAAACGTTAGTAATCCCCAGGGTTAAACCAAGTCTTCTTGGACACTTAGGTTGATTCTAGGCTATTGTCAATAGAGGAATAACAAAAAATAAAGAGAATAGCCCATTTATTTTTTGCAGAGAAGCTAGACAATTCACAGTAACTTATGGCCTAGACAATTTTATTTCTTGATCAGCACAACTCTTTATAGATGCCTGTGATCCAAAAATGTGGATTCCTAATCGTCCCCAAAAAGAAGGGATACTCTGCAAGGCAACCTGGGAGGGAGTTTAGGATTGTTCTGAGGCAGTGAAAGCCATTGAGATTCACATGTAAGAGGGTAGAGAAAGGAAATCCACATGTTTTGATCCCTCCGTGTGCTGGATATAACTTGGTCTTCATTACATTGCACCACCTTTGGTGTCAGAGAGAACTGGATTTGAATCCCAGTTCCATCACTCATTATGATTTGATGGTGAATGTGTTTTTAACTCGTCTGAGCCTCAGTTTGCTCATCTATAAAAGATGGGATTGTTATGAGACTTGCATAAGGTAAGTGTTTAAAAATCTGGGAATTATCCCTGTAATTTAAAAGATGGGGTTGTGATAAGGCTTCAATAAGGTAAGTGTGTAAAAATCTGGACACAATGTTACTAATTTTGTAGGTTTTCAATATATAGAGAAGGAGGATTATTTTCCTCTCATTTAATTTTTAGAACAAGTTTATAAAATTAGTATTGTTCATATTTTTGAGATAATCAAAGGATTAGTAGGTTTAAATAAATCACCATAGTCACAAAGCAGTTCACAATATATTAACTGGATAATTGCTAGTGAAAAGTAGCAATGATGGTCACATTGAAAATCTTGTGTTAGGTGGTGGTTTTCTCTTGCATAAGCCTCTTCATTTGTTGATACCATAGATTCTAAGTTTGCTCTATCAAAGTGATCATTAGAAAAATATAAGGTACTTAGTGTATAAATTTTAGAAAATTTCCTTTTTAGTCCTGTTAGTTTGATTGAATATGTGCATTTTGAATTATGAATATAAATATGAATACGTATGACATATGAAATATGACTTGACATCACAGAGTAACCTTAGATCGTGGTAATGTTTTATTCTGAAAGCACCTGCAGAAATGTATCTTCTTTCTAGTTTCCAAAAAACTCAGAGGCCATGGGGGAAGAGGGGACTTTGGCTGTCAGATAGTGCATGAGGTACATTAGGATACAGTAATTCCATCATAATTCATATTCATAATTCACAGTGAGAAAAACTGAAAGTTGCTACAAACTACCAATAAATGAAAGGTGGGGCGGGGTCGCTGGGGGGCGCGGCTTTGTGACCTACTGCCTGGACTCCCAAGTCACAAATGGAAGGGCAGCGCTTGGAAGGAACTCAAGGCCTGATTGGTTCTTCTTAAGCAGGACACGATCTGGTTGGCAGGGCAACCGGCCTTCAGTTGGTGGCCTTCAGTGGGTGCCTTAAGTTGGTGGCATTTGGTTGCCTTTCCTGGAGAGAGGTGGCAGGTGCTCAGCTCTGCAGACGTGGGGGCAAGTGAAGGCCCAAGCTGCCTCGAGAAGAGCAGAGGTGCCCCATGGGGACCACGATGACAAGTCGCATGTGCACCAAAGCCAGCCCCCGGCAGGGCCAGCGCAGGGGTTCTGCAGGGCCGTCCTGTGGCTCTGATATCTATGAATGGGCGGCCAGCAAAGGCACAGGCACCAGCAGAAAGGAGCAGAGACGTCCAGAACATGCTGTCCCCCAATGCCAGCCCCAAGCGAGGCCAGCTTAGGGTGCGGTGGGCAGAGCCATCCTGCAGCTCTGAGATCCACGAGGTGGAGGTGGAAGTAGTGCCAGGCTCCACTGCATTGGAGCTCGCACAATTTGAGCCCAATTTGATTCCGGAGCCATGACCTGTAGCACATTGGCGACCAGAAGACGCCCAAAGGTAGGGAGGCGACAGACACCGCTTGGCCTCAGGAGCTCCTCTGGCCGTTGCTGAACCAAGGTTCCCCTAGAGACATCCACAGCCTGGGGCTCCTCCCTTCTTCACCTAGTTCCTTTCCTAGGCCCAGGCCCCAAGCATGAGGACTGGCTCTGCCTGGGGTCTCCATCCCTTCGTCTTTCCCTGTTGCATCCAGCTGGTTTCTTTTCCCCTCCATACCCATATGCCCAGTTCTGGGCCCTCTTCTTCTTCCTAGAGGCTGGCCAAAAACTAAGTTTTCAAAATACAAAATGGATGCTACAGATTTCGTTGCTGTAGAGGAAATGTCTGACAGCTCTTGTATTTAAATTTAAGTAGCTACACTAGGACTCACAGTTTCATATCTTGAGTTCTAGACCAGAGCTCTCTACCCTAAAGCAACGGCAAGGGGTTAGAGGTACTCTTCTTGATTCTAATAATAAAAAATGATTTTTTTGTAGGGACAAGGTGTCACTGTGTTGCCCAAGCTGATCTCAAACCCCTGGCCTCAAGTGATTCACCCAACTTGGCCTCCCACACTGCTGGGATGACAGGCAAGAGCAACCACACCTGGTCATTGGAGGTGCTCTTGCTTTGTGTGTTTGGGCTAGTCTTCAGACGCAGCTGTCAGTAAGATGCTCCTGCCGTATAGTTATATGTCTTTCTGCACAGATTCAGTGGATCCTGTGATTTTTTTACATGGAATAGCCCCTTTATTTTTTGCAGAGAAACTAGACAATTCACGTAACCTATGGCCTAGAAAATTTTATTTCTTTATCAACACAACTCTTTGTAGATGCTTGTGGTCCAAAAATGCAGATTCCTAATAATCCCCACGAATAAGGGGGCCATTGCAAGGCAACCTGGGAGGGAGTTTAAGATTGCTCTGAGGCAGTGAAAGCTATTGAAATTCCCACATGAGGGGGCAGAAAAGGGAATCCACATGTTTTGATCCCTCCATGTTCTGGGTGTAACTTTGTCCTCGTTAAATTGCACCATTTTTGGCATCAGAGAGAACCGGATTTGAATCCCAGTTCCATCTCTCATTATGATTTGATGGTGAATGTGTTTTTAATTCGTCTGAGCCTCAGTTTGCTGATCTACAAAAGATGTGATTGTCACGAGGCTTCCATAATGTACATGTGTAAAAATCATGGCAAAATGCTTGTAATTTAAAAGAGAGGGTTGTTAGGAGACTTCTTTCAGGTAAGTATGTAAGAACCTGGACACAATGCCTATAATTTTGTAAGTGTTCAATATATGGAGAAGGATGATTATTTTTCTTTAATTTAATTTTTAGAGCAACTTTATAAAATTGGTGATACTCACATATTTGAGATAATCAAACCAAGGATCAGAAAGACTAAATAAATCACCATAGTCACAAAGCAGTTCACAATACATTTACTGGATAATTTCTAGTTAAAAGTAGCAATGATGATCACATTGAAAATCTTGTATTATCTGGTGGTTTTCTCTTACATAAGCTTCTTGGAATTTAGTAAGATAAGTTGCAGCTCAAAAAGCAGATCCGTAGAATATTTTGTTCCAGAGATTATAGTGGGAGCCAAAGTATTGCATGAGTTTCGTTGGGAACAAGGTGTAGGCTGAGAATCTAAGCAAACTTCAGTTGGTGGTTTTCAGTTGGTGGGCAGTGGCAGAAGGAGGAGGAGCTCCGTCTGTGCTCTCTCTTCCCCCAGTCACAGCCCTCAGGCTTGTTGCATCCAGGCCCTTCTAAGTTAAACCAGACAGGTTGACAGGTTTATTTAGCATTTAGCAGACAAGTCAGCTCAGGGTAGGTGGGTGAGGTGGGGTGTGGGCTGCTAGTATAGTGCCACACTTTGACCCAGGGCTGCCTGTACCCATGGGGCTATTCCATATATTTTATATATATATGCTTGTTGGTTTATTAAAACCATAAAAAACATAGATTCTAAGTTGCTCTATCAACGTGATCATTAGAAAAATGTGATGTACTTAGTGTGTAAATTTTAGAGTATTTCTTCTGTTAGTCTTGTTAATACTCAATTCTTTTCTAAAACACCTAGCCCAAATCTCCATAGGTTTTAATCGAATTGTATTATAATTTGGATTTTCTGGTCTGCCTATCTTCCAAATAATAAAGTTCTTAAAATTAATTTTCTATTGCTGCCATAACAAATTACCACAACTTTGTGGCTTAAATCAAAGACTTACAACCCTATAGTTCTGTAGGGAAGACCTCTGACTGTGGTCTTACTGGGCTTAAGTCAAGCTGTTGTCAGGGCTGTATTGCTTTCTGGAGGCTCTAGAGAGAATCCATTTCCTTTTCTGACTTTTAGATGCTGTCCCTATTCCTTGGATCATGGGACAATCCCTCCATCTTCAAAGCCAGTAAAGTGGGATGTCTGTGACCATTGTTCTGTAGTCATATCACCTTCTGACTGTAGCTAGGAAAGATTCTCTGATTTTATAGACACATGCAATTAGATTAGCCCCCAAGATAATCAAGGATAATCCCCCTAACTCAAGGGTTAATCACATCTCCAAAGTCCCTTTTGCCCCATGTAAAGTAATATGGTCACAGATTCCAGGGACTAGAACATCTTTATGGTGTCATTATTTTGGCTGTCACAAAGGCAAAGTCTTGGACTTATGCATATCTAGATTTTCTTTGCTTAATTTCAGAGCCTAGAACACATTAGACTCTAAATAAATGTGAATGAGTGATAAATATTATATTTACAGATTGCTGCCACAATACAATTCTGTCCTCCCACTGGTGGTGGAATCCTATGTACTTTTTACCATCTCCATTTTGCATTCAGACTAAACATGGCTATGTTATTCCTTTCACCTGAGTGATTTGAAACCATCTCTCTATTTCTATTTGTAGAGATCTTATCTATCAAGCCCTTCTCAAATGCCACTTCAAAAAACTTTTTTTAATCCCCAATTGTCTTAGTCAATTTATGCTCTTACAACAAAATAACGCAGACTAGGCAATTTACGAAAACCAGACATTTTTCTGTCATAGTTCTGGAGACTAGGAAGTCCAAGATCAAGGCGTTGGCAGGTCTGATGTCTGGTAAGGGCTGTTCTCTCCATTCAAGATGATGTCTTGATGCTGCATCTTCCAGAGACAAGGAACACTGTGTCCTCACATAGTGGAAGGCGGGAGGGCAAGAGGGATGAACTCCTTCCATGGAACCCTTTCATGAGGGCTCCTAAACCCATTCCTGAGGTAGGAGTCCTGATGGCCTCATCACTTCCTGTAGGCTCCACCTCAACACTATCACATTGTCAACACTGAATCTCGGAGGAGGCACAGTGAAACCACAGCACCAATCAAGTATGATCTTTCTCTCCTCAAAAAACCCCTCATATGTTTAGACCTCCCGTGCACTTTTATACATTTTGTCTCATGGTTTCTTCCTGTACAAATAAGGTGCTATAAATGGATAGCTATAGTTTTGGGTTTCATTTCAACAAAACACCCTTCCTAGTTTTTTGAACCCCAAGCGAAATATGAGGACAGGCCCCACGTTCCATTACAAAAGCAGAAAGGGAATGCATGATCCTTTTTCCAGTTTCTTGGCCACTCACGTGTGGGCACATATCTAGGCCCAGCCAACTGATGTCTCTTTATTAGAACTAGGAACCCGATGAAATGATGCAAAAGACCTGAAAGAATCAGAGAAGATTCTGAGAAATTGAGCAGAGATGCAGGTCCAGGAATGTGGCAGCAAGTGCCTAGGTTCAGCAGAGCCCAGCTACATGGTGACAAGTGTCAAATGACAACATCCTAGTGGTGGCATCCAAGATCTGCTTCCGTCGAATGAACTTGGCTGTGCTGAGTTTCCCTCAGTTCTTACCTTGCTTCTCCAGCATCTTCGAGGATTTTGTGAACTATTCAATATCCTTTCATTGAATTCCTGTTTTGCTTAAGTTGTCTAGAATTTGTTATTTTCAGGGAAAAATATAAACCAGTTATCCCCTCACATTAAAACACACTCCACTTAGGCATCTCCTGTGATCTCACTGGAGAAAAGTGTGGACGTTATTTGTAATTTGACTCAGAATGATAGGATTAGTTTGGTACTAGTAACAATAGAGATAAGTAACTAACTTTTTGTGAAACTTCTTCCTGGGGTGAAACAAAATCTATTGTGGAAACTCTTTTCAATCATCTCTGGAAATTTATTAAGTGACCTAGTATATAACGATAATTTACCATGATATTTGATAAAATAGTTTTGTGTGTTCAGAATAATTTCTTTTTTCTTTACCTTTGAAAATAATGCATTGATAGTTAATTTTCTCCTAAATTGTCTGTTTTTATTTCCATAAAAGGTATTTATTGAATGTCTCCTTACTTTTAATATAACTAGGCATTGTGTGATCAAAGAAAAATAAATATGTTCTTGTTTCTGGAATTACTAAAGCTTTGAAAATGGACTTATCGATCTCAAACCAATGGGACATATTCCTATGTGGTCTGCTCCCCTGTTAGGGTGTCCAGTGTAAGCGGTGATTCCTTTTCTGTCTTTTTAAAGATTTTAGAAATGCAGCTTCTGCTGTTGGCCACTAGGTGGAGTACTTCAGAGCAGGGTTTGTGGGAGTACAAAGCTAACTTCTGCTGCTTTTGCTTGATGCTTCTGCAGTTTCCTTGACTACTGTGGATGATAAGTAACCATTTTCTTCCTCTTCTTTCTTTTTGCCCTACTCTTTGGAGTGAACTTGAAACATTTAGGAAGTTCATTGATCAACATATACCATGTTTATGAAAATTCGGCTAAGATAATATGGTAGGACTCCTTTGGATATAAATAATAGAATTCAAACTCAAACTGGTCTAAGCCAAAAAAAAAAATTAATTTGTGGACTCGTATAATGGAAAAATCCAGGGTATAGCTTCAGAATGGCTGAACGTAGAGACTCAGGGCTTGGCTCCTCTCCTCTTCCTTGCTTTTTTCTTCCCCATTGATTTTATTCTCAGACAAGTTTTCCCTTTGTGCTGCAATGTGGCCATCATCACTCCTCCAGTTTACATTTCCTTAGTTCCACAGCCTCAGAATAAAGCAAAAAGAGAAACACTTCTAATAGTTTCAATAAGAGACTAGAGATTGACTTTGGGTGTGAGGCTTGGATTTCATGTCCATCTCTAGTTTCATCTGTGCCAGGATTAGAAGTGTATTCACTGGCCAGGCCTGTGTCACGAACTCATACAGGGTTTCCACTGTCCACACAGTGCCTTTGCAAGTATTAGAAAATGGCTCCCCTTTCTCCAGTTAGATGCAGCCCTGTATCAGGGCATGTGGCTTGGGGAAGAGCATGCAGGCTGGATTTCAGCCCCCCTTTCTCCCTTAGCTGGGTTTCTTCCTTGAGTAAACAACATACTTGTTAGTAGCTGTCCTGTGCTTATTCCTGAAACTGGGGGTGAAATCAGCCCCCACGCCAAAACTGAAGGACAGAAGGTGGCTTTATCTAGGGTCTCAGATAATGGCTAATAACAAAGGGAGGGGACAGTGGGTGCTGTGTGGGCAAAAGGAGCAAAAAATAATCCTAACCTGTCTAGACTTCATCTCAGAAGCCATATGCAACCTTCTTCAATGGAAATATTTAACACTTCAGGAGTGCCAAGAAGGCTATAAGGAACATATCTCTTAAGGACCTAAGTTAAGGCATTCTAGAATGTATGCTTTATGGATTTACCTTGTAAATATATAACATGGACTAATACACACAGAAAATATATTGCAGAGTAACATAGATGACAGAACTTGAAATACATGACATTCTACCGCAGTCTATCATTATTTTCTAACTTATCAAAAGACTCAGAGTATATTTTTTCATATTGATAAATTTCTAACCAGAGCCCTATTTACTCGTGTCTTGAAAAACAGAGTATTTGCAAATATGTCTGAAGAGGGAAGAGAAAGAAAATGATTCCAAAAAAGCTGATAACATTAAGACAGCTTTTTTTAGAAGATGTACATTTGCAACCACAAATCAAAAACTTATAGGAGATACAAAAAATGTGAAGAAAAATAAATGAAACCAAACCACTACAAGAAATAACCAAACTAAGAAGACAGCAAGAGAGGGGAAAAAAAAGAACTGCAAAACATATGAAAAACAATTAACAAAATTCAAGTTACTCCTTACCTATCAACAAGACTTTAAATGTGAAAGGATTAAACTATCTAATTAAAAGACATAGAGTGGCACAATGCATAAAAGATACTCATCAGTACATATTTATAAGGGAGTCACTTTAGATATAAAGATACATAGAGGCTCAAAGTGAAGGGATGGGAAAAGATACTCTATGCCAATGGTAACCAAAAAAGAACAAGGGTATCTATACTTAGATCAGAAAAAGTAAACTTGAAATCAAAAACTGTCACTAGAGACTAAGAAGGTCATTATATAATGATAAAAGTTCACTTCAATGGGAAGATTATAAATATATATCCACCCAACATTAGAACACCTAAATATATAAAGTTAATATCAACAAAGCTAAGGGGAGAAATCAGTAACACTAAAATAATAGTAGCCAACTTCTGTACCCCAAATTCAATAATGGATAGAACATCTAGGCAGGAATAAAAAAAAGGAAACAGCTGACTTGAACAACACAGTAGATTAAACACTGACATATACAAAACTTTCTATCCAACAGCAGCAGAATATACATTCTTCTCAAGTGCACACAGAATATTCTCTGAGATAGATCAAATCTTAGGTCACGAGGCATCCTACAAATTTAAGAAGTTTGATATAATGCCAAGTATCTTCTCAGACAACAATGGAATAAAATTAGAAGTCAATAACAAAGAAAAGAGAAACATTTACAAAAATGCAGAAACTAAACAACACACTCTTCAACTACCATTGGGTAAAAGAAGAAATCAAAAGGGAATTTTTAAAATATATTGAGACAAACAAAAATGAACATACAACTCAACAAAACTTACAGGATGCAGCAAAAGAAGTGCTAAGAGGGAAATGTTACAGTGATAAATACCTATATTAAAAAATAAGAAAGATCTCATTCGAAAAACCTAATTTTACAAATAAACAATTAGAAAAAGTAAAACAAACTAAACCCAAAGTTAACATAATGAAGTAAATAATAAAGATTAGAATATAAATAAAATAACTATAAAATAAAAAACAATAGAAAAATCAACAAAGCTAGAGTTGAATTTTTGGAAATACAAACAAAAATAACAAACTCTTAGGTACACAAAGAAAAAAGGAGAAACTCAAGTAAATATAATCAGAAATGAAAATGGACACATTATAACAAATGTACAGGAATACAAATGATTATAAAGGACAATTAAGCAATTATATGCCAATAAATTGGATAACTTAAAGAAATAGATAAATTCTTAGAAAGATGCAATCTACCAAGGTGGGACAAAAAAGAAGTAGAACAGACCAAAAGCAAGCAAAGAGATTTAATCAGTAATCAAAAATTTCCCAACAAAGAAAAACCCAGGTGCAGATGCTTTCATGGGCAACTTCTACCAAACATTCAAAGAAGAACTAACACCAAAATGTCTTAAACTCTTCAGAAAAAATAGAAGAGAGAATAGTCCCAATCTCATTTCATGAGGCCGATGTTACCATAACTTAAAAGCTAGACGAAGACAACACAATAAGAAATAATTACAGACCAGTATCCTTAATGAATACAGGTGCAAAAATTCTCAATAAAATACAAAATAACAAACTGAATTCAAAAGCACATTGAAAAGGTCATACACCATGACCAATTGGAATTTATCTATGGGATACAAGGATGTTTCAGTGTGTAAAAATTAATAATGTGGTATACCACATTAACAGAATGAAAGACAAAAATAACATTCCAATAGATGCAGAAAACACATTTGACAAAATTCAATATACTTTTATGATAAAACTCTCAACAAAATAAGTATACAAGAAACTTACCTCAACACTATAAAGGCTGTATATGAAAAACCTATATCTAATATTATAATCAATGGGGAAAGACTGAAAGCTTTTTCTTTAATATCTGGAACAAGACAAGGATGTCTAACCTCATCACTCCTATTCAACATAGTACTGGAAGTCCTAGCCAGAACAATCAGGCAAGAGAAATAAAAGGGATCAAAATTGAAAGGAAAGATATAGTTACCTCTGTTAACAGAAGACATGATTATTATACATTGAAAACTCTAAAGACTCCAAAGAAAATGGTTAGAAATAATACAGTCAGTCTTTCATATCTGCTGGGGATTTGTTTCAGGACCCCCTCAGATAACAAAATCTGTGATGATCAACTCCCCCACATAAAATCGTGTACAGTTGGCCCTATGTATCCATGGGTCCACATCTGGGGATTCAAACCACCACAGATGGAAAATATGTACACGTTAGGTTCATGGTTGATTGAGTTTATGGTTGCAGAACCCATTGATATGAAGGACTGACTATATAATAAATTTTCTAAAGTCGTAGGATACACAATTGACCTACAAAAATCATTGCTATTTCTAAACACTAACAATGAATTGTCTGAAAGGGAAATTTAAAAAACAGTATCAAATAAACTACTTTGGAACTAACTAACCAAAGAAGTGAAAGACTTAAACACTACAAATTATAAAAGATTGATGACAGAAATTTAAATCAAAGTAAATTGAAAGACAACCCATGGATTGAAAGAGTTAGTACTGTATTATTAAAGTGTACATATTACTCAAAGCAATCTACACATTTAATGTAATCCATATCAAAATCCCAATGGTATTTCTCACAGAAATAGAAAAAAAAATCCTAAAATTCATATAGAATCACAAAAATCCCTGAGTGGCTGAAGCTATTTTGAGGAAGAACAAAGCTGCAGGTATCACACTTCCTGACTTCAAATTACAAAGCTGTAGAAAGAAAAACACTGTGGTATTGGCATAAAAACAGACACATAAACCAGTGAAACAAAATAGAGAACCTAGGCATAACCCACACATTTGCAGCCATTTGTCACCCTGGAAGGTGACAAGGAGACACTATAGGCAGAGGATATGCTCTTGACCAAATGGTGTTAGGAAAGCTGGATATCTACATGTAAAAGAATGAAGTCGGATCCCTAGCTCACGCCTTATGTAAAAATTAACTCAGAATGGATTAAACGTTTTAAATCTAATCACTGAAACCATAAAACTTCTGGAAGAAGACAGGAGAAAACATTCTTGACATTGGTCTTGGCAATAATTTCTTTAGATATGATGCCAAAAGCACAGGCAACAAAGGCAAAATAGATAAATGAATTACATCGAACTAAAAAGCTTCTGCACAGCAAAGAAAACAACTAATGAAATGATAAGGCAACCTATGAAATGGGGAAAATGTTTGTAAACCATATCTCTTATAAGGAGTTCAAAAAATAAGGACACATACACATCAATTCCAAAATTATAAATAACCTAATTTTATTTTAAGGAAAAGGACCTAAATAAATACATCTCAAAAGAAGAAATTCAAATGGCTAACAGGTATAAGAAAATATGCTCAACATCTCTAAACTTCAGAGTAATGCAAATCAAAACCACAATGAGATATCATGTCACACCTGTTAAAATGGCTATTATCAAAAAGAGAAAAGTTAAGTGTTGGTAAGAATGTGGAGAAAAGGAAACCATTATACACTATTGATGGGAATGCAAATTAGTAAAACACAGAAAACAGTATTGAGGTTCCTCCAAAAAAAATTGAAAATAGCACTGGCCTGGTGTGGTGGCTCACACCTGTAATCCCAGGATTTGAGGAAGCCAAGGCAGTAGGCCAGGAGCTCCAGACCAGCCTGGGTAACATAGCAAGACCCCATCTCTGAAAAAAAAATTAAAATTAGCCAGACATGGTGTTGTACGCCTGTAGTCCAATCTACTCAGGAGGCTGAGGTAGGAGGATCGCTGATGCCCAGGAGTTCAAGGCTGCAGTGAGCTATGATCTTACCACTGGACTTTACCCTGGATGACAGAGTGAGACCCGGTTTCAAAAATAAAAAAAAAGAGAACTACCACATAATCCAATAATTTCACTTCTGGATATATGTCCAGTGAAATTGACATAATAGTCTTAGAGAGGTGGCTGTCATCCCCTGTTCATTGCAGCATGACACACAATGACCAAAATATGAAAATAACCTAAATGTCCTTTGACAGAGGAACAGATGAATGGGTAAAGAAAATGTAGCGTGTATACTTAAAATGAAATATTATACAACCTTGAAAAAGAAGGAAATCCTTCTATTTGTGAAAACATGGATGGAGCTGGAAGATATTGCGCCAAGCAAAAATGCAAGACATAGAGACAAATACTTCATGATCTCACACACATGTGGAATCTACAACAGTCAAATTCATAAAAACAGAGAATAGGACAGTGGTTGCCAGGGGCTCAGGGAGGGGAAATGGGGTGATGTTAATTAAATTGTGCAATGTTCAAGTTATAATAAATTCTGGAGATATAATGTACAACGTGGAACAACACTGTATCATATTCTTGTGTTCTGATAAAGGACTAGATCATAAATTAATTACTGTCAACACACAATGGTCAATATGTAGAGATAATATGCTAATTTGTTTGATTGTGGTGATCATTTCAAAAAGTATAGAAATATCAAAACATTAAGTTACCTTAGATTTATACAATTTGTATGGGTCATTTTATCATCATAAAGCTGTAAGAAAGATTTAGTAAATCATGTCTACAACCTGGGAACTTTCTCATGACAGGGAGGGCTGGAGTAGGAAAATGGAATTTTGCAACAAGGATAGGGTGAGGGACATGGGAAATGATTGATCAAGTATTTAAGAAATGACCTGGGTGGAAGCTACATCAAAGGGTATGAGTTTAGAGCGTCAGTCCTCAAACTTTTTGGTTTCAGGAACACTTTACATTTTTAAAAGTTATTGAGGACCCCAAAGAGGTTTTATTTATTTGGATTATATCTATCTATATTTATCATATTAAACATTAAAACTGAGAAATTAAAAAAATAAAATAATATACTTATATGTTTACATAAATCACATTTTTATTGAAAGTTATAATTTTTAAGCAGAAAAGTTGGTGAGAACATTGACATTGTTTTATATCTTTAGGTATGTCTTTAATGTCTGGTTTAATAGAAGAAAACTTGGTTCTCCTTTCTGCTTCTATGTTTAATTTCTTGTGACATCCCATGTCAGGTAGCCTCTGGGAAACTCCAATTATACTTGTGAGAGAATGAAAGTGGAAAAGGTAAACAAAACCTGTGTATTTTTATGAAAAGGCTTTTGACCTTGCAGAGCCCCTGGAAGGGACTCAGGGACTTCTCAGGGTTCTCTGGCTCATGTGTTCACAGAGTAGAGGGTAAGCCCGCAAGAGAAAGCAGTGATTGGCTGTGGGAGGTCTTGCTGAGAGGTGGTAGAGAAGTTGAAAGTGTAGAAAGCATGGTCGTTGTTTTCATTTCTTTTCCCTTTCCTTTGGCCTCTTGTTGCTGGGATTTCCTCTTTAGATGATCGTATCATAAATTAGAAACGGCATTAATGAACATTCTTGATACTGCCTAATGAAAGTTTTTGTTTTGTCTTCCTGAGTCTTGATACATTTCAAGAAGTCTTCTATCTCATTTATTTTTCCCACCCCAATTTGGAATTTAGGAAGAGTCGATGTAGCTATATTTAGATGATTTATCTCCCTGAAGACATTTTGGGATCATTTATAAATCTCTATAAACAATGCTCTGATGTCCCTTTATTTTGTTTAGAGACTGGGTCTTGCTGTGTTGTCTGGAGTGGTGTGGCTCGATCGTAGCTCACAATACACAACGCAATCAAACTCCTGGGCTCAAAGTGATCCTTCCACTCAGCCTCCACAGTAGCTAGGTCTGCAGGTGTGTGCCAGCACGCCTAGTTTTTGATTACTATTATTATTTTTGTAGAAATGGGGGTTTCATTATGCTGCCCAGGCTGGTCTTCCAACTCCTGGCCTCAAGCGATCCTCCTGCCTTCCGCCGTCTGAGGAGCTGAGATTACAGGTGTAAGCCACCATGCTGGTCCTGATGTCATTTAAATACAAACATGATACTATATTCCTTGTAGAAAGTGCTACATAAAGATAATTTTTTTGACATAAGATCTTACTCCCTCACCCAGGCTGGAATGCAGTGGTATGATCACACCCACTGCAGCCTTGACCTCCTGGGCTTAAGTGATCCTCCCACCTCAACCTTCCAAGTAGCTGGGACCTGAGGTATGAGCCACCAAGCCCAGCGAATTTTTCAAATTTTTGGTAAAGATCGGCGTGTCACTGTGTTGCCCAGGCTGGTCTTGAACTCTTGGGCTCAAGTTACCCTCCTCCCAGGTCTCCCAAAGTGCTGGGATTACAGACCTGAAGCACTGCACAGGGTCCTAAAAATTCATTCACTTTCTTTGTTTGTCCACAAGGTGCTGCTGTTTCCCTTCTAATAACATGAGACAGCTCACTCAAGAACATCAAGAACACGATATTCTCTAAAAAAAATCACAGTAGTTCCTTTTCCATAACTATTAAGTTTTCAGGGTGTTATCAGGTTTATCTCATAGAAAGAATGTGTAAAATTTTTCATGTAGAAACATAATCTTTTAGCAATGAGTTACTTAAAAAATTTGGCATTGTCAGAATGAAGATTTCCTTTTCCCTATAATTTTATTATAATTATATTTTTAATGATATCAATTGCTGTATAAAAACTCATTACATTATATACCCAATGACTGTGAAATCGTCTGCTTTGAAGCACAGTGAAATCATCAATCAGCATACTGGGTCTAACACGGATCCTTCCATTTTAAGAAAGCTATTTACACTCCAATTTGCAAGTTGGACTTTACAAAAATTAAAACATTTAGAAAATATAGTAACTATGATTGCTTTAAAAAGTAATGGCTTTTTATGGTAAGGAAATAAATTGAAGCTCTGTGTTGGAAAGTGCAGAAAACAAATCAGCACTCTTTATAAATAGATTTTACTGCTGGTTTAGAAATTACCTTATGTGCTTTATAGATGATGGAAAATAAAATCAGCTGCAGTTAGCAGTGTGCATGCATCGTATTTTCTGTGTCACTTTCAGAAAGATTATGGAATATTGGCAGGTCAGGATTCTCAAAATGATAAGTTCTAAGAAGAGGCTAAATGAAAAAGAATTTTAAAAGCAAGCCTAGTTGTTTAACATATACATGGACTAGTTATGGGGAAATCCTGGACTAGAAGCTAGCAGACCTATGTTCTGACTTTTACTAAGTCATTGGCTGCTACAGCCGGCCAAGCAGACATAACTGCCAAGGCTGCCTGGGAGTTGCATTGATTGGCAATTGGCACAGGGAGAGAGGACAACTGCCAGAGTAATGGCCAAATATTCAGGGTTTCATGTTCAGTGAAGCAGGACGTGCCTTTGTATCCCAAGGTCAAAACTGACGCTAGAATCTGGACCTCCTGGCTGAATGCGAGTCTACAGTCTGATGAGTACGATGAAGTAGTCTCAGAAATCCAAGCCAGCCAGAACCCATGAGGTGTTCTCTGCAGATATTGGCTGGTGAGCTGCATTAAGATGTTTTATTCCATTGAGAAAGCATTCCTTGATTCGTTAGGTTAGCATCCCACAAGAGCAGAGACAAATTCTTCAGAATTTGTCCATGAGGCTATAGTCCCAGAGCTTATATTTCAAGGGAGGAGGGAGGAAACAGCATCTCAGGATGGTAGGTGATTACAGCTAAACGGAATTCTGAAAATAAAAGGAACCCTATGTCTTTGTCTGCTCAGGCTGCTGCTACAAACAACTGTAGACTGAGTGGCTTAAACAGCACATACTTGTTTCTCACAGTTGTGGAAATTCAAAGATTAAAATCTGGGCCAGCAGAGCCAGTGTCTGGTGAAGGCCATCTTACTGGTTTGCAGGTGTTCTTGTTGTATCTTCACATGGCTGAGAGAAGAGGGCTCTAGTCTCCTACTCTTCTTATTAGGATGCTAACCCCATTGTGGAACTCCATCCTCATCAAAACCAAATTACTTTCCAAAGGTTCTCCTTCTAATGCCATTCTATTGTAAGATTTTCAACATGTGCATTTGTTGATGCAAACATGCAGTGCACAGCAACTAATCTAATCAAATCAGTTGTCCCTTGAATAAAATTCTAGCTCCTATAACAAGACTTAAAATTATGACTTGGTTGTTGCCAAAACTGTCTATCTGGATTTGCTGGAAATCAAACGTACTTGAATATTTCCTCTAAAGATTTTCTCATTCCTTCCTTATTATGTATATTTACAGAATCCTTAAATAATTACATACACAAGGCTTCTATTAGCTCTGACGAGAGCTTCTATTAGCTTTGACTATTGCAAGCAGCTTTATAGCAGTGTAGGTAAAACCATGTGCTTTGAAATCTTACAATAAATTTATTAAATGCTAAGCACTTTATATTCGCTATTTAATTTTATCATCTTAATCACCTTCATTATTACCTCCATTAAACCCTATTTGTTGGCTACTTATATTATTCTGATTTTGCAAATCTAAATTTGAGAGGCTTTCCCAATGTCACATAAGTTAATAAGAGGCATAGCTGGGGTTTGAATTAAAGTCTACCTGATTCCAAGATCTATTTACCATTTTTCTACAATATGTACTTTTTAGGTCCCTGAGAATGCTAACAGCCTTTCTTTTGAAATCTGCCTTCTTTCTGGATAGCAGCTTTATTAATATGTGATTAGGGCACCATATTTCAGGCAACAAATTCTTTGAAATCTTTCATTTCTATAGTGAGATAAGGCACTGTGGCACTGTCAGCCAGAAAACATCATTTGGAGACTACCTTGTACAAGAAGTAGAAGACACAGCTGGGGGCCTGTGGAGGACAGAAAGCTCACAGCTTCTGTCCATACCCCTTTTACTTCCTCCTCAAGGAGATGGACCTCTGTGGTTGGTCAATCTTAAGGATCTTTTATGGGCCACAGCTAATGGTGAAATCTTCCTAACTCTAGGTGAAGATTAATGGGCAAGTTGGAGAGTTAAGGTAGCTTGTGCCTGCTCCTTTTAGAAGAAAGTCTGATCATTGCTCTCTTATTTGTGGAACCCCTCTGTTTCCCCAAATGCTTGGTAAGACAAGCCTGAAGACCAATCCTGTGTCAGTAGACTTCATATCTACTCTCTTCTACCAATCACACAACTACAGACAAATAAGAAAAATAAAACAAAGCTCAGACACACTCCGCTGGCACGGAGGCCACTCTGCAGCTGGCTGCTTTTCTCTACCCTGGCGCTTCCTGGGCATTTGGCTCTTTCTTAGATCAAACCGAGACATGGGTTTGGGATTAAAGAGAAGTAGGTGAAAGGGGTCTCTGGCCTGTTTTGGCATTAGGCCAAGTAAATAACAGAGTTCTGGCTTAAGCTCAGCTCTGTGGAGCTTTCTCTGTGTTTGGGGAAAATCTCCGATAGTAATGAAGTGGTATTTTACTGTGCTTCGTTTTCTGTACATATATCTCTCTCTTAGGTATGTTGTGAGGAGATTCGTTCCCTGGACAAATACCATCTTAATCACCTTCATTATTACCAATTTTATTTTACTTGCAGAATTAAAATTTAAATAGACATTCAGGAAACAATTCTGGTGAGACAATTATGTTATGAGGTTAATCTTTCAGCATCTGCCTTAGGGACATTGATTATTTTCCCCCTTTTTTTTCACCAAGCTCCAGGCTTGCAAAAGAATTGTGATGTGGTCTGAGGCAAACTTACTGATTGGCTAGTGGTAAGTTAAACCGTAACCTGTAGGACCACTGGGAACCATTGCTTGCCACCGGCCAGAAATCCACTGTTTGGAGGTGTGCGCTGAGAAGGCTATTCATACTTATTGATACATGCTTTGTTCTTGGCACTATGTTAAGTACTGGACACATGCAACAATTTGGAATATCGTTACATTCAACCCTCACAATAGTCTGATGTATATGTTATTAGTCCCGTATTAGAGATGAGTAAACAAGATTGGAGGAAGAGAAGCACACAGCTGGAACCACACAGGTGGCACTGGGATTGGAAGCAGTTCCATCTCACCCTGGACCACCATTTCTATGCTGTGTCTCCACTAGAGGATCCTTTCTTTGGTTCTTCTAAGTCATTAGTCACCAATAATTTATCTCCAAACTGTAGGTTTCACAGGAAGAGATGCCACTTGAAGCTTCATGGCTTAAAATGGAGATGGAATGTGGAATATGGTGGGAAGCACCGGGAGGAGTTTATTGATAAATTTCAAGTACTTTGTGGGGCTCTGAAAGGCTGTCTTCAAATTCTTTGTACTACTACCTCTTTCATATTAGTTCAAATGTCATATGGGTATATCTTTTGGGCTAAATTAAGGAAAATCTCCATGAAAAGTAAAAAACAAACAAAAGAACCCCAAAAGAATGGAAAGAGATACTATGAAAAATCAACTCAGATTTCTCAGAGTTTTATTAACTCAAAGAAGCCTTGGTCCAGTTGGAAGAAGACAGAATTGATTTTGACAATCTCTAGCAAACCCTTTAGCATTCAATGCACTCTAGACCATGAGTATAAAGAAGTTCACTTAATAGGTTCACCAAATTAGTTAGTTTGTGTAGTTCAAAACGAAACAGACACACAGGACTGTGAGGTTTTGACAGGGGCGGAAGGCAAGTCTGGGTCCAGTGAGCTCAGGCAGGCCATGAAGGGGCAGGGCAGGAAAAGGACGGTGCTAGGAGGCTAGGGAACTGGCCACCTCTGTGCTGGCTGAAGATGACAAAAATCAACACAGCTTTCTCCAAACGCTGCCCGTGCCTGATGGAATTAAACAGAGCTCTGAGAAAAACAGCACCGGGGCCGAGGATGGGTCCTGAGCTGCCTACAGTCATCAACATCTTGGCCAGTGGCTATGCATTCAGGGGCAATTTGGCTAGCTTTCTTGATCCACACTAGAAAACTCGCTTTTGAAGTGGTTTGGAAAGCTCTAAAAGGGACGTGTTTCATGCTATTGGTATTGCTGTCAAAAAGAAAAGATTCTGCTTTTCATCAGCTGTTGATTTTTGCTCTCTGTATTTCTCTAGCATCTGTTGCTGGTGGCCCTTGTTATGCTAACAAGTAGATAGTGTAGCTGCATAAGCAGAACAGAAAAGACTCTCCTGGATTCTCAGTTCCAGGCTGGCCTGGGAATAGGCTTAGGGATGTTTCAATGCTTCAATGCAGGTGAGCTGGAGATCTGTGGCAATTCTTTTGACATGAGGCTGGACATTCTTTATAGCTTCCCCAGACACAGGAATTTGCAGGGCTTGAAAAAGAATCACTGGCAGGAGGTTCATTTTCTTTATTGCTACCTCCCCAGCCATAAAACTAAAAGCTTTTTACCTAAATCAGGTTAGCCATCTTGTGGGAGTAGGAGATCATTTCTTTCAGTCTTTCCCGATTGCATTCTAGTCCTAGGATGGTTTGAACGGTCCGTTTGAATTTGAAGAGCTTTCTAGTTGACGCTTCTCATCCCCTCTCCAACCAGTCTTATTTGGTGTCATCTGCCTTTCCCCTTCCTCCCTACCAAACCTCAGAGTCTTGAAACAAAAATCTTTGTATTGTAAACTTCATCATGCTAATTTCATCACTTCAAACGAACCTTCCCTTGTTTGAGTTTCCTGCAACTGTGTGACTTAGGGTTGTCGAACTCTTTCAAATACACAGGAAAATGGAAACCTCTTTTGGTGTCTAGTGATTGTATAATAAAACATTTTCAGATGCTAATCACATGCTTTGTGCTTTGTTAATGAATGAAAAGCTAAGGATATTCTTATTTGAAAGGTTTAAAAATATAATAACTGTCATTATATCTAATTCTGTCTACATTTCTGGTGTGAAATGAGAAGTCAGGAGCCCTGCCATCTACACAGTGCATGGTTCTACCAGCTATTTCTGTGTCACTTCAAGCAAATCACTTCTTTACTGCCTTTTCTTTCTTTTTATGTAAAATGTGGATAACTCTCTCTCTCACTGAATTCACAGTGACTGTATTATGTACAACAAAATGTATTGAAAAGCATAAAGCTCTATAATTAGGTAGAATGTTTCCTGTGATTTATAAGCTTTTTAAATCCTGGGGCAGTGGAGGAAGTATTCCTCTTACTGTAAAAGGACATCCTTCTAATAATCTCCCTTCTTTTCCTGACTTTTCAGGGATTCTGTTCCTTGCTTTTCCATTTGTCATCTGCATCTTCAATCTCTCTCCTTCTTGATGCATTCTGTCAGCATTTAAATATAAATTTTTCATTTAAAAAATCTTCTATCTTGGAGGAACCTTAACTTTGATGCTGTGTGTCTTTCTAGCTATCCAAGCCATCTCCTCCTTTCTTAGAAAATTTTTCTCAAGGATTTTCCACATTTACTATCTCCTTTTGCTCATTTTCTTTTCACTCTTTATTCAGATCAGTTTGGCTTTCACTTTCACCAAGCCTATGAAACTTCTTGTGCTAAGGTCACCATATAAGAGTGCTAGGGGCTTCCATCACAAGCTGCCACAGATTGAGTGGTTTATCTTCTCACAGCTCTGAAGACTGGAAATCCAGGATGGAATGTCAGCAGGTTTGTCTTCTTCTGAGAACTGCTGCCTTGCAGATGCCTCCCTTCCTGCTGTGTCCTCAGGCTGTGTTGACTGTGTCTCAATCTATTTTTAGATGGACACCTGCCATATTGGTGTAGGGTCCACCCATGTGGCTTCATTTGACCTCACTTACCTCTTTGAATGCCTTCTCTAAATCAGTACCCTCTGAGGCAGTGGGGATCAGCTCTTCAACATAGGAATCTGGGGGGACACAATTCAGCGCCCCCAGAATTGGTGATTCCTAAACATCATGACACTATTCTTCTTTCTCTCTTTCTCTTTCTTTCTTTCTTTTTCTTTCTTTCTTTCTTTCGTTCTTTCTTTCTTTCTTTCTTTCTTTCTTTCTTTCTTTCTTTCTTTCTTCTCTCTTTCTTTCCTCTTTCTTTTTTTCTCCCTTCTTTCCTTCCCTCCCTTTCCTTTGCTTTCCTCGCTCTCCCTTCCTTGTTTCCTTCCCTTCCCTTCCCTTTCCTTTCATTTCCTTTCCTTTCCCTTCCCTTCCCTTCCTTTCCTCGCTCTCCTTTCCTTCTTTCCTTTCCTCACTCTTCCTTCCTTCCTTCTCTCTCTTTCTCCCTTCCATTTATTTACTTTTGTTTATATAAAATTTATGGGATACATGTGCAATTTTGTTCCATGCATAGTGGTCAGTTCAAAGTTATTAGGGTATCCATCACCCAAGTAACATATATTGTACATATTATGTAATATATAAGTCCAATGGGGTCTCAGGAACATTCGGTAGAGTAGACCCCTGACCTCTTCCTCTAGCTTGAAATATTTTCTTATCAGCTTCTCCCTCTTTGCCCAAACTTTAAATGTTGAACTTCCTAAATCCTGGGTCCTCTTCTGTTCTTTTTCCATATGAAGCTCGTCCAACCCATGGCCTGTGGGCCACATGTGACCCAGGACAGCTTTGAATGCAACCCAACACAAATTTGTAAACATTCTTCAAGCATTATAAGATATTTTATGATTTTTTTTTAGCTCATCAGATATTGTTAATGTTAGTATATTTTGTGTGTGGCCCAAGACAATTCCTCTTCTTCGAATGCAGTCAGGGAAGCCAAAAGATTGGACAACCCTGCCTACACAGACTCTAGACAAGGTTTTATTAATTTCTATGGCTTTAGATACCATTTATATGCATATGGCTCCTACAGACCTCTCCTCCCAAGCTCCAAAACATTATGTGCACCTGCCATCTTGAAATCTCCACTGGGATTTTCACAGGCATTCCTAAAATCAGAATTCAAAACTCTTTAGTTCTGCCTGCACATCTATGCCACTTCCTCAATCATTTACCTTTTGTTAGTTTATTTCTTCTTCAACCTTACCATTCTTCATAAAAATTATCTCCATTTACCCATTTGCTTCTTACAAAAAGCATCATCATCCTTGATGCTTTCTTCTTCCTGCAACCCCCCTAGCATCACAACTTGCAACCAAGTACTGTTATTTCACCTTCAAAATATGTGCGAAAATTATCCGCTTCTGTCATCCGCATCTTTCACCTCATCTGCAAACATATACTCCTCTTTCCAACTTTTTGCCTCTCCAATACCTTCTCTATGGCACACCCAGAGGTTCTTCAAAAATTTCAATTAGATCATGTCTCTCCTTCGTTTAAAAATCTTTAATGATTTTCTCTCCACGAAATAATTCTGCTAGACTGCAAGCTGTAAAGATACAAGGACTAGGTTTGCCTTATTTGTTTCTGTTTCTGCAGAGCCTAGACTTGCATTTAGTAGGAACTTAACACATTGACCTAGATCTTGTCCACCTTCTCAGCCTCACCTCTCATGGAAGAACTCATAGACCTCAGTACAGTTACTCTTTTCTCAGATCCCTGAGCTGGCCTGGTCCAGGGCTGCCTTGGCCGTGATGCATTCACTCCTGCTTTGTTGGCTGGTATCTGCTTATATTCTTGCTACTGTAACTGATGTCCAAGGCAGTCACATAGGCATCCCTGGGAGCTTGCTAGAGCTCAGGCACCGCCCTAGATTCAATGAATCAGAATCTGCATGTTGACAAGGTCCCCAGGTGTTTCATATGCACATTCAAGTTTATGGTGCTTTGCTCTAGATCCCAGGCTGAGTGTTAGTTCTTTAAAGAGACCTTTCCCAACTGGCCAAATCGTATTAGGTCATGTGATGGATTCACCCACGCGGTCTGTGATACAGAAGGGAAAAAGAGTTGAGGCCTATTGATCAGAAGCTGCTCACTTTAGAGTTTTACCTAAGGGTGATCCTATCAAAAAGTTCTGGATTTTGTAGAGAAGCATACAAAGGATGTGAATAGTTTGACTTGAGCAAATTGAAAATTGCCAGTTTTGTTTGCTCTAACCAATATGTTTGCTTTCCCTCTGAAAATCCCTTGTTACAGGTCCTTAGTTTTAGTTTGCCACATTATGACACAATGGGAATAATGCACGGCAGGGATCCTCAGTTGGTTTGGGTTTTCAATACATAATTGATCCATGGTTGTGGCATGCATTGTAGAATGTCCAGCTAGAACACCTATTCTTTCAATTACTTTCATTACTTTCAATGGCAAAACCACAATTACTTTTGCACTAACCTGATAGCTTTGCTACAAGTCAGTTGTTCAGTTTCTTTGTTGTTGTTTGTTTTTATTTTTGCAAACACTTTAGATACTGCATAGTGGATGGATTAGTTTGTGGTTCCTGGGACCTTCTGTGTATTCTGTTGAAGTGCAATAATCACATTACTGCGGACCTCCAAAATTTTACAAAGGACTGCATAGTGAGTATTCAACCGATAAACTAAACCACAGCTTATTACTGTGAGATGAAAGAAAGCACTCCAATTAAAAGTAAACACTGTTTAAACTTATCTCAATGCATTTCTAAAGTGTCATACATTTATTATATTCTCTACTTGTAAAATATTTTGTTGTGTGTATTGCCAAGTATTTCAGGATTTTATGGGTATAATGTATTCTATTAATTTAACTGGAAAACTTGTAGTTATTCAACAAGCAAACTAAAAGTGTTGGCAGAGATGTAATTCTAAAGCATGATCCCACGCATTCCTTCAGTATTACAGCTGTTCCTTGTTTGTTTAATAATAGAACTGATGAGTAGTTAATTTGAGAGGAAAGCTGGTGCAGGTGTAGTGCTATTTAGATGTCATGGAGGACACATGTAACATCTGCAGCTAGCTATATGGTAAAAGCAAAACAGAAGTTAAAATCAGCCCTGTGTCAAATCTGCATAGTTTTAGGCTTCAGGGAGTTTCTCTGTATGTTGAGGCAGAAAGTTTAGTAGAATTCCAAGGGAATAAAAGAGGAACCAACATTTGTAGATTTTGCCTTCTGTGGCGGAACTCATTCAATCATCAGGAGAACACTTCAACAGGTTGTATTTGCTCCAGTTTACCTAGATGAAAAATTGAGACCCAGAATCCATGCTTTTCTTTCCTGGTTACACATTAGAATCACCAATGTGGCATTAAAACACACACACACACACACACACACACACACACTGCACACCCATTAGGATGGCTACTATCAAAAATAAAAAACAAAAAAATCAGGTGCCAGGCACGCTGGTTCACACCTATAATCCCAGCCCTTTGGGATCACCTGAGGTTGGGAGTTTGACAGCAGCCTGGTCAACATGGTGAAACCTCATCTGTACCAAAAAAATAAAAAAATAAACAAAACAAAAAACAACACACACACACACACAATTAGTCGGGCATGGTGGCACACATGTGTAATCTCAGCTAATTGAGAGACTGAGGCAAGAGAATCGCTTGAACCTGGGAGGCGGAGGTTGCAGTGAGCCGAGATCACGCCACTGCACTCCAGCCTGGAGACAGAAGGAAACTCGGCCTCAAAACAAAACAAAAACACCCAGAAAATAACAAGTGCTGACAAGGATGTGGAAAAATTGTAACACTTGTGCATTGAGGTTGGGTATGAAAAATAGTACATCAGCTGTGGAAAACATACAGTTCCTCAAATATTTAGACATAGAATTACCATATGATTCAGTAATCCCACTCACATCTATAAATCTCTATATCTATATCTTTATCTACCTATATCTGTCTTCAAACGAATGGAAAGCAGTTACTCAAATAGATACTTGTACACCTGTGTTCTCTCCCCACCCCCCTTTTTTTTCTTTTTAATAAATGGGGTCTCACTGTGTTTCCCAGGCCCGAGTGCAGGGGATGTTTATAGGCACGACCCCCTGCTGCGGGGCTGTCCACAGGCATGACCCCCTCCTGCGGGGCTGTTTATAGGCATGATCCCCCTGCTGCGGAGCTGTCCAGAGGCACGGACTCCTGCTGCGGGGCTGTCCACAGGCACGACCTCCCTACTGCGGGGCTGTCCACAGACACGACCACCTGCTGAGGGGCTGTCCACAGCCATGACCTCCAGCTGCGGGGCTGTTTACAGGCTTGATCCCCCTGCTGCGGGGCTGTCCACAGGCACGGACCCCTGCTGCGGGGCTGTCCACAGGCAAGACCCCCTGCTGAGGGGCTGTCCACAGGCACGATCTCCCTGCTGCGGGGCTGTCCACAGGCACGATCTCCCTGTTGCGGGGCTGTCCACAGGCACGATCTCCCTGCTGCTTGGCTGTCCACAGGCATGACCCCCTGCTGGTCAAACTGGAGTTGTGCCCTGCTTTGTCTCCAACCCAGGCCGGTTCTCCCCTCTTTAGGCAACCTGGTAGTCCCTTATCCCAGGAGGTCACTGTACTAATGTCTAATTTCGTGCAGACATCTGATCAACACAGCACCCTGCAGCCCAGGACTCCTGGGCTCAAGCGATCTTCCTGCCTCATATGCCTGAGTAGCAGGAACTACAGGCGCATGCCACCACACCTGCCTGCTACACCTGTGTTCATTGCAGCATCACAGCAGCCTTATTTACAGGAACCACAAAGTGGAAACAACCTAAAAAGTCTATTGAGGGATAGATGGATAAACAAAATGTGGCATAGACATAAAATGGAATATTAGTGATATTTAAAGAGGGAGGGAATTCTGATACTTGCTACCACATAGATAAAACTTAAAAATATTATGCTAAGTGAGACGTCAAACACAGACTACGTGATTCCATCTATATGAAGAACCTGGAACAGGCAAATTAATAGAGACACAAAGTAGAATAGAGGTTTTCAGGACTGGCAGGAGGTGGAAATGGGCGGGTTTAGTGTCTAATGGGCACAGAGTTCCTGTCTGGGATGATAGAATGTTCCGGAAATGGATAGTGGTGATGATTGCATAGCATTGTGAATGTAGCTAATGGCATTGAATTCTTTACCAGAAAACAAAAACAAAAACAGAAACACATTGCTTAAGCTTCCCAGTCAGAAAGGTGACGTGCTTGGTGTGAGCTGGGGCCTGAGCCCGGGCTGCCCTCGCTAGAGCTGCTTCGAGACCCCTCTTGGTTGTACTTAGGCCTGATTGCTCTGGAGAGCCCCATACATGAAAGCCAGCTCTGGTTCTATGTCTTCTCACTCCAGTCCTCTCTGCCCCCACCATCTCCCAGCTGGGCATTATGAGAAAAGCAAGATGACTATGAGTTTTCTGATTATTTATATGACCAAATAATCTCAAGGACTATTGCTAACTAACCCACGGAACTCCCACTACCTTCATGAGATTCGGACGAGGTGAAGGGTCCCTAAAATCCTGCCACCTAGTCAGGAACTCAGTTGTCAATAATTTCTTTATTTGTGATACAAGCAGGGGTGGGGAAAGAGAAATGAACAGACTTGGAAGCTTCTCTGAAGCCCTAGAGAAGACCTCTGGGCTCCGAACACCAGACTCCAGGAGGAAGGAGGGTAGTTGATGACTCCCCACTCTTTCTCCAGACCCTGCTCCTCTGTTTCTCCCCTTCACCCACTGCAGCTTCCTCAGGTCCTAGGTCCCACGCCATCATCTCTTCGAATCACCTCCCTTCTATCCCTGTTAATAAAGGAGCATCAGCTAAGTGAACATGGTGATTTGCATTCACTTACATTGATTCAGAAATTGTGTTTAATTCCACACAAGAAAAAGAATGTGGGTCTTTTACACTGGGAAACAAAAGTCGCTATGTATCATCTTAATCATGTTTTCCTGGGATATAATCTATACATGACACCCATTTAAGCCTTCATTGCATCTGTGCACGTGGTTTGCTTTCCTCTCATGTGAAATAGTGTTGGACCACACGGGTTTGGGCCACAGCCCAGGAAGACACAATCCTGAACGTCATAATCCCAAATGTTGAAGTCCCAAAAGATCTAAATCTATACAGTCTAAAATCCTGAAAATTACAATCCTAAAAAAACAAAATTCTGAAAATACAATTCTGGAAAAAAGTTATTAACACATTCTTTAAAAAGCATTTATTGGGCAGCGCGTGGTGGCTCATGCCTTTAATCCCAGCACTTTTGGAGGCCGAGGCAGGTGGATCACAAAGTCAGGAGATGGAGACCATCCTGGCTAACACGGTGAAACCCCATCGTTACTAAAAATACAAAAAATTAGCCAGGCATCCTGACGGGTGCCTGTAGTCCCAGCTACTCGGGAGGCTGAGGCAGGAGAATCACTTGAACCCAGGAGGTGGAGGTTACAGTGAGCCGCGATCGCACCACTGCACTCCAGCCTGGGCGACAGAGTGAGACTCTGTCTAAAAACAACAACAAAAAAGCATTTATTTATATTTTTAAGATGGAATTTATTTGAGAAACGTATAAAAACACAACAGAACGCTTCCTAGGCCACTTTACACAATCAATAGACAGTAATAACATACATATATTTGCAAGCATAAAACTCAGGTATGCTAACTATAGTCTCAAGGGTATAATGGTGATGAGCAGATGAATTGTATTTGTAAAGAAATGGGTCAAAAAGCAAAATGTATAAAAGCATGGTTGGTAACTGGGTGCACTCAACTTTATAACTTAGGTCATCTGGAATACTGTGACAGACAACCTAATTCTTTTGACCAGATTCATCAAAAGCTGGGATGGGTCACCATCTAATATGCAGTCAAAGAGCTGAGATCCTGAGGAATTTTCTCTTTCCCAAATGGAAATGTGCAAAATGGATATCTTCTCATTTATTGAGGAAACTTTAATGTTTTTATGTACATGTACAATGCTTACACACAAAGTCAGTCTTGTGATAATGCACTCTTGTGGAATCAAATTTGCAAAAAAAAAATGCATAAAACAAATTAGAACTCTCTAAAAGTCTTTGCAAAATTTATACCTCCAGTGTTAGAAATGATACTAAGATGAAATACATAGCATAGCAAGTTGTAAAAAATAATGCTGACAATTTAAAATAGTGGAAAAAATGGAAAAAGAAACAACTAAAAAGAAAATTGACATATAAAATGTATATTACATGGATAGATTATGGGCAGTTGCAGAGTTCATCATAGCTGGCTGACTTTCATGATCATTAACTATATTTTGAAGTCTTGCATCACAATGAATAGTTGCCTTTTTTGTTTTTAGGATTTGACTGTCCTCATAAAATACATTCACATTCATTTTCTACGTGGCACTGCTCTTTTTGAAATTCTTCTATAATTTGATACACACGGACATGAGAATTTCCTATTACATTTTCCAATCTTCTATGCCATTCTTGTCTATCGTTTTGAGTATGTGGAGATCCATTTTGCAGGCCCTCATATACAGGCCACTCATTTGGCAGAAACAATACTCTTGATTGAACAGCAACACCGTTGCCTAAATGACTTCTTATCCAACCTTGCACATCATTATTTTCAAACCAGTATGTAATGTTTCTGGCTTCTTCAGGCAATTGTGATTTTAATTTATCAAAAGCTCCTGGAATTTTATCAGGTGGAAGGAATGCCAATACAGACAAATGACACATTTTTAAACTAAAATTTTCATCATTGCCATATGGCCTGGCCAATCCACTCACCTGAATTTTCTGGCAAATGAGCTGGGCTGAATGGAAGATATAAACTTTACTGGTATTTACTGGTATTTACTGCAATTCACTTTTAGAAACCTTGATCACACCTAATTAAAAACTTGTCATTATAATTTGGGGTTCCAATTGAAATCTATTTTCTTCTGCAAAGCCCTCCAAATAAGCTTTTATAAAGTACTTCACTTTTTCCAGTTATTAAACCATAAACATGCCGATTAAATTAAAGAATTTTGTAATCCAATGGGGGCATAAACTGTATAAAGTTGATTAAAAAAACCCACTGGGGACAGTTTTGAAAGTGCCATTCATCAGCCAAAGTGAAACATGCAGCAGTTTTGTTATGTTACACTTAGTGGTGAATTTATCTTTTTTGACAGTCAAATCCCTAATCAAGAATAGTTCATGATTTAATATGTCTTGTAGCACTTGAGGAAGCTCTGTGCCAGGAAGTGTCTGGCTCAGAAGGCCACTGAATTTGTCCAACTATTTTTATTATCTGACAAAAGGCATTTTGTGAAGGCAAGCATTGTACTACATGTAGAAATGCTTGGTACATGATTATATAATTTGGCAGACAAGATTTTTTGTATTTTTTACTTTCATTTTCACTTCTTCTGTGATATTCAAGACATTCAAAACAGTGACAGCAGATCTTCCCCACCTAGTCTGCTCAGACCCACACACTGATCTCTTCTGAGAAAACCATCACAGACATACCCAAAATAATGCTTTCCCAGCTTTCCAGGGATTCCTTAATCCAGTCAAGTTGACACCTGAAATTAAGTCTGCAAGTCCACCCCTTGTAGATTTGGCACCCATGTGGACCTCCTTAAACCATACATAACTTCCAAATAAAAAGAAAACAAAGCAACAGTTGTACCTAACATGATGCAAAGAACGTGGTACAACTCTCCTGTGATTGTGATTTTCTGGATTTTAGATGTTAAGAATTTAGACTTTAGGACTGGGCATGGTGGCTCATGCCTGTATTCCCAGCACTTTAGGAGGCCAAGTCAGGAGGATCACTTGAGCCCAGGAGTTTGAAATCAGCCGGGGCAATAAAGTTAGACCCCATGATATGGCTTGGCTGTGTCTCCAACCAAATCTCATCTTGAATTTTAGTTCTCATGATACTCACATATCATGATGGGGACCCAGTGGGAGGTAATTGAATCATGGAGGCAGTTACCCCCATGCTGTTCTCATGATAGTGACTGAGTTCTCACAAGATCTGATGGTTTTATAAGGAGCTTTTCCCCCTTTGCTTGTGCTTCTCCTTCCTGCCACCTCGTGAAGAAGGTGACTTGCTTCCCCTTCGCATTCTACCATGCTTGTAAGTTTCCTGAGGCCTCCCCAGCTATGATGAACTGTGATTCAATTAAACCTCTTTCCTTTATAAATTACCCAAGCTTGGTTATGTCTTTATTAGCAGCATGAGAATGGACTGATGCAGTAAATGGGTACTGAGGTAGTGGGGCATTGCTATAAGGATACCTAAAAATGTGGAAGTGAATTTGGAACTGGGTAACAGGCAGAGGTTGAACAGTTTTCAGGGTTCAGAAGAAGACAGAAAAATGTTAGGAAGTTTGGAACTTCTTAGAGACTTGCAGAATTGTTTTGAGGAAAATGCTGATAGTGACATGGACAATGAAGACCAGGCTGAGGTGGCCTCATATGGCGATGAAGAACTTGTTGGGAACTGGAGTAAAGGTGACTCTTGCTATGCAAAGAGACTGACGGCATTTTGCCCCTGCCTGAGAAATCTGTGGAACTTTAAATTAGAGAGACATGGTTTAGGGTCTCTGGCAGAATAAATTCCTAAGTAGCAAAGTGTTCAAGAGGAAGCAAAGCATAAAAGTTTTAAAAATTTTGCAGCTTGATGATGAGATAGAAAAGGACAACCCATTTTCTGGAGAGAAATTCAAGCCAGCTGCAGAAATTTGCATAAGTAACGAGGAGCTGAATATTAATCACCAAGACAATGGGAAAATGTCTTCAGGGCATGTCAGAGACCTTCACGGCTACTCAAACCATCATAGGCCAGGAGGCCTAGGAGGAAAAAACGGTTTCATGGGCCCGGTGCAGGGACTTGCAGCTCTGTGCAGTCTCAGGGCTTGGTGCCCTGTGTCCCAATCATGGCTTAAGGGCCAATGTACAGCTCAGGCTATGGCTTCAGAGGGTACAAGCCCCAAGCCTTGGCAGCTTACATGAGGTGTTGGGCCTGTGGGTGTGCAGAAGTCAAGAATTGAGGTTTGGGAATCTACGCCTAAATTTCAGAGGATGCGTGGAGACGCCTGGGTGTTCAGGCACAAATTTGTGACGGGGATGGAGCCCTCATGATGGACCTCTGCTAGGGCAGTGAGTGCAGAAGGGAAATGTGGGGTCAGAGCCCCCACACAGTCCCCACTGGGGCACTGCCTACTGGAGATGAGAGAAGAGGGCCACCATCCTCCAGACACTAGAATGGTAGATACACTGACAGCTTGCACTGTGTTGCCTGGAAAAGCCACAGACACTCAGCACCAGCCTGTGAAAGCAGTCAGAAGGAGGGCTGTACCCTGCAAATCAACAGGGGTGGAGCTGTCCAAGGCCATGACAGCCCATCTCTTGCTTGAATGAGCTAAGCCTTTGGCGGACTGTTAGAAAAGCATGATCATGTTTTAAAATGTAAGGACATGAGATTTGGAAGGGGCTGGGGGCTGAATGATATGGTTTGGCTGTGTCCCCACCCAAATCTCACCTTGAATTTTAGTTTCCATAATCACTACATGTTGTGGGAGGAACCCAGTTGGAGGTAATTGAATCAAGGGGGTGGTTATCCCCGTGCTGTTCTCATGACAGTGAGCGATACCTGAAAGTTTTATAAGGGGCCTTTCCCCTTTTGCTCAGCACCTCCTGCTGCCTTGTGAAGAAGGTGCCTTGGTTCTTGTTTGCATTCACCATGATTGTAAGTTTTCTGAAGCCTTCCCAGCCATGCTGAACTGAGTCAATTAAACCTCTTTCTTTTATAAATTACCCAGGTTCGTGTATGTCTTTATTGGGAGCATGAGAATGAACCAATTCACTCTGTTTCTATTTAAAAAAAGAGAATTTAGTCCTTAAGAAATTTGATCTTTCAGGATTTCAACATTCAGGGTTATGGTGTTTGTGACTGGGTCTTCTGGGATTATGATCCTCACCTGGACTAAACAGCCTCGCAGCTCTCTTCAAACTATGATCCTATTCTCCCACTGCCTCCTGAGTTCAGCCTCTTTCTTCAACTTGGCTAAGCCTGTCTT
The DNA here is from genome assembly GCF_000001405.40 of Homo sapiens. NCBI lineage: Eukaryota > Metazoa > Chordata > Mammalia > Primates > Hominidae > Homo > Homo sapiens. The sequence goes on from NT_167213.1 coordinate 150,741, forward strand.
TCCTTTCCTATCTGTCTGCTTTCTTACCTCTGATTAATCTAAAGTAAAATTTGACTTTTTTTTTTTTCATTCCAACAACTCCATCTTCTATCACATATCTCCTTTCATGAAGTTGGCCCTTGATAATGTTTCTGTTGACAACAGTATAATATAGACAGGATTGCATATAGTTAAAGTATGTATTTTATTTATTTGGTGGCAGCATTCTGATAAGAAATTAAAGCTATTTCTTTTAAAATCATAATTTAATCACCAGGCAGAGCAAGTAAAGAGAAATAAGTTCCAGAATCTCACATCTGTCAAAAGTAAATGCTGATTTTTATTGAGGACCTCCTTATTTCTGCCACCAGTTGACTCTCATACAGCTTGTTCCCAATAGAACATAGAGTGGAATTGGCAAATGGGGTGTCATACATGCAGCGCTCTACTGAATCTGATAATTAAGTACCCAGAAATTTTATGAAGTGTTTGTCAAACCATCAGTAGAAATATTTACACAATTGAAATCAGCAAATGCTATTAATCTGGGCTGCTCCCCACCCAAACAATAGGTTTACTAGCATACAACTTTTATTCATCTTGTAAAGGTTCAGAATTTCTATAAATATTCATAGACTCTCCTATACTCAGTGTCTCAGAATAACTCGAAGTTCTTACAGTAGCCAGTGAGGCTGAGTGTGAGCTGACCCACCCCAGTCCGTCTCTCTGACCTGTCTCCTGTTAGCCTTCTGACTCCCAGTGTTCTCTACTTCATGCACATGGGCTAGACACCCTGCTGTTTGCCTGCCTTTTCTTCCTTGAGTGCTCCTCCCCAGATATCTGCATAGCTGGTGCGCTCACCTCCTTGGAATCCTTGTTCAAATGTTATCTTCTCAGTGAGACCTTCTATATAAGTTTTCTATGACTGCTGGAAGAAATTAGCACAATTCTAGTAACCTAAGAGAACACACACTCTCTCTAGGGGAGAGAGAACACTTTCTTACCTTCTCCAGCTTTGAAAGGATGCCTGAATCCCTTGGCCCCTGGCCCCCTTCAAGGCAGCAACCACATCGTCCTGACCCTAGCTGTCACGCTTCTTACCTCAGACTCTCCTGCCTCTCACTTTTGCTTTTAAGTACTCTTGTGATGACATTGGGCAAACCTGGGTAATCCAGAATAATCTCCTCATCTCATGATCCATAACTTCATCACATCCACAAGTCATTTTTGCCATATAGGGATATGGACATGTAGAAAGGCCATTCTTCTGCCTATTACTCCCTCCTTGAGCATTCTAACTACCTTCACATCTACCCGCTTCCGGCATTCCTGAGCTCCCTTCCACACTTAATTTTTCTCTGTGCCACTTATTACCTTCTGGCATATTATATATTTTACATATTTATTTTATTAATGATCTGTCTTTTCTCACTGGAATGTAATTTGCATGACGGTAAACATTTTTGTTTCATATCATTGACATATTTTCATTATGTTGAACAGTGCCTTGCTCTTAGTAAGGATTCAAGAAATATATATGTTTTGGCTGAATAAATTAGGTTGAGAAGTTTGGGCGAAAATTCTGGCATGATACAGAAGACAGTTCCCAGTGATGGGATAGGGCCATGTGGTGGGGCCTCTACAGGAAGCCGGGATGCTCCAGAGGTCCCCCAGGGCAGAGCTGCTTTGCTCACGTTGAACTCTTTTCCCAAGCTCTGATTTCTAATGTTTTCTTTCATATTTGTTTTTGCTCTGCCTTTTTTTAAATTAATTTTTTCATAGAGATGAGGTTTTACTATATTTCTCAGGCTGGTATCAAACCCATGAGCTCAAGCAATCTTCCCACCTCAGCCTCCCAAAGTGTTATTACTACAGGTGCAAGCCACAACACCCGGCCTGCTTTTGCTCTTTCTTTGAAATATACTCAAAATGTTTATATTGGTTTCTAACTATAGATCACGAACTCCTGAAGCAAAGTAACCACTTTGTTCTTCATTATTTCTTTCACTCTTCTACTCTGCACGGTGCCAGATATTGGATATGTAGGTGCCAAACATTTGCTTTTCTGATTTCTTACATTTTATTTCTTAAAAATCAGCCTAACCACGTTGTAGAGAGGGATGATTTCCTTCCTTTGTTTTGAAAATTTGTTCATGCCCAGTGCTTACATTGTGCAGTTAAATGTTGCTTCAGCTTTTTTTTTTTTCTATTTTTGCCAGACTTTTGAAACTCTTAAAATTTGTTTGTGGTCAGCACAGCAAAGAAAAAGCTTTAGCTTTGAAAAAATCTTTAACATGAAAAATGCACTGACATTGTTTTTAATGTAACATAGTCTAGAATTTGCCTATGTTTGCACATGCTGAGAATTGTCCCACCCGGTTGATGTGTTCACCTCTTCAGCTTTGATCCTGTTGTGGATTTATTTACAAACATCAATTGCCTTCAAGCCATCCTTTCTGCTGTATGTTTTGCAGCCTTCTATAGTAGATACACAACAGATAATGTGGAGAGAAAAGACATAAGAGGAGGAAGGTAATGAGAGACTTTGTCAAGGTTGTGACCTTCTTGGTTTCTTTGAAGAATTTGTTGCCTTTCTACTAAGACAGCAAAGCAGCATTTTGCTACTGACCACCTAAAACCACTTAATCTCAGGTGAATCCATCACTTGCCAAGCTGTTGGAATGCTATTTGTGTTTTGTTGCACAATTTTTTGGTTGTTTATTTGGTTGGCTTTTTGGAAGGCAAATTTGAAAAGGGGACCTACACAGAAGTGCTGACCCACCCACATTCCCTTATTATCATCACAGACAAGAAGAAACTAGCAGAGCTAAGAATGGAGTGAAGAAAGGCAGTGTGATAAGCACCAGCAAAGAGTTGAGGGCTGTTGCTCTCTAAATTATTATTTGATTATTTTAAAAGTATGGAAGTTTTCTAGTCACTGAAGGAAGGAGGGGAAAGTGCAATTATTTTTATATGGAGTTACTTAACTACCTCCTAAACACATACGTGGCAATTGTTTTTGCTGGTGCAAAGTATTTTAATTAGCAAGAATTCATATATTGAGATTATAATTAGAGAACTCAATTTATATATTTGCTATCCTGCTCAAGCCTGACATGGCAAAAAAAAAAAAAAAAGAAAAGAAAAAAAAGAAAACCAAGTTCACTCCAAAATATATAGCTTTAAAATAGAAAATACTGGAAGGTTTGCTGTGATAACTATTTTGAACTTTTGTACAAAAAACCTAAAGAACAATTTGCTAAACATGAGAAATTGCTCCCTTTGAGTATATACAGGTAAGATAGGAAGAGTGTTCAGACCAGTAAATTATAGTTTATATTGAAGATAATATTCAGTTGACTCATAACAAATAACCAGCATTCATGATAACATTTCAGCATTTCCAAGGTGCCAAGTGTACTGATTTCTAAAAATATATTTTAGAAGGAATTTAGAACTGGTGTTTTTAATGAAAACCAGCATCTCTGATGTTGCAACATGTATGTGAAATGGGTGTTACATCTATCCTGCCCTTTAACCCCACCGTTAACAAAGTGGCTGAAAATAACAATAAGAAAAAATCAGTCTAAAGGAGAAAACCCCTAATGCTCTCAATTCTCTCTCTCTCTCTTTGTGTGTGTGTGTGTGTGTGTGTGTGTGTGTGTGTGTGTTAAGGGGCATGGCGGGAGGTGGTCTTAACTCTTGAAAGAAACCTTCTTTGTATAGGAATCATATCATATTTCGGTTTAGGTACAATGATAAGAAAGTTTAATTTTATAATCCATAAGACCAGATACCTCCAGAAATGATTTTTCCTGTGGGATTTCTATGACTCGTATTCTGACTAGTGTGAAATGACAGGTTTGGATGTCTATATCTACACCCATCAAAACCTCAGAGCTTCATGCACTGCTATAACTTTTCTGTCAACTCTGGGTAAATTAGGAGGCAGGTACAAGGAATAATTTTAACTTCAGATTTTATAGTTTGTTTATGTAAAGGCAGAAACATCTACTCTTTAATGATCTGTATTTTAAGATATTGACTTTTCCTGGTGCTATTTTATGATTATGGAGAAAATAGAATTCTTGTTAGAAATCTCAACTCCGAATTGAGAATAGATGTTTTGATACTTGTCCTGCTGTGGCCTGAGACTTGGAATCATGAATTAAAAAAGACCTTGCTGTTTATCTACAGATTAGAACACACAAACATCAGTGTAACATCCTCATTAGCATTCTGGTAGTTACATTTACTTATTCCAGAGCAAAATTAATACATGATAAGAAGTGGAATATTTTCTATTGATATCTAGGGTATTATGACAACAACCTTCCTTAGAAAAGAAACAGTGTGTTATGAGGACAGTGGATGCTACAACATTATTTGCCTTCAAGGCATTGCAAACAACCGGAATCAATTGAATAACCTTCTCAAGCACAAGCCAACAGTGAAATGAGAGTCATTTATCTGAAACAGCAGGCAAGAGCTTCATTGGTACACTCGGAAGGTGGCTCATTAACCCTGCCGAAGGTTTGCTCCATCTGATCAGGGCATAAATGTTTCATTGGCCCAATAACCAAGGTCTTAGAGTTTCACAGTGTTTTCTCTCCAATAGCTAATATGGGGAGCATTGCTGACATTCTGCCCATGGTTGCCAAGGCTGAAATCAAACGTGCTTTGAATAATACTATAAAAATTTTGAAATGAATGTTTGCCGTAGGAACCAATGTTCTACTGTGGGCTCTATACAAAGCCGCTTAAGGTGGGAGGGAGCAAACTTTTCAAGTTGGTTTTAGGTAACAGAAACAGACGTCTTTATTGTATTTGTCTGGAAAAAAAGTAAGGAAAATCCCAACATTATCTGTTCTGGTCAAGAAGTATAAGGCTCAGTCCCGTTTTATTTCTCTCCTTCTCCTTTGGATCCTTTTTCCTTATTCTTGACTCTATACATGGAGAAAAAGTTCAAGTGCATCTAAAGCAGTAATGCTGGGAACTTGTCAACTTATTCCCATGATGCTACTGTTGCTTATAAAGCATTTTGAGGATTCTTGTATTCAGAGCTAGTGATAAGCCGCAAGAGGAAGTCAGTCTTGCTGGTGTACAGCTGCATTTTGGGCTCATGTATAGAAGAGTTAACATGGATTTCAGAGTCTCCCAGGTGTTTGAAATCCAGGCTCTGCTCTCAGGACCTGTGAGGTCTTAGATAAGTTGCTCAATCTCTTTGAGCCTCAGTTTTCTGAGTACAATGGCACATAACTCACAGGACTGCGGTGTGGATGAATTGCGATGATGTGTATGAACTCAGCTCAGGGTCTTCTTTCCTTCCTTCTTTCTTCCCTGCCTCTGAATTTACACCAAGCTTTACTTCTGAGGTCTGACTCCTGAGAAGCTAGACACACAGTGAAGCTTGATGCTTGCTAGAAACTGAGGGACTAGACTTGAGTGTTAGGGAACCTGGGAATGACATCTGTCATCCATCCGGGAAGGCCGAGGAGGAAAGCGAGGCAGCGCAGCAGAGCAGGAAGTGGTGCCCATGGAGGCCACTTTTGGGCTGGAGCCTGCTTAAGGCACTTTAGTGCTGAGTCATTTGGGGCCCAAGGTAGGGGCAGATAGGAGAGAAGGAGGGCAGTTATCGCCTAGTCACAGGGGCAGATAGAAGAGAAGGAGGGCAGTTATCACCTAATCACAGGGGCAGATAGAAGAGAAGGACGGCAGTTATCGCCTAGTCAGGAATTTAACAATCTCTATTTCCTTTCAAACCTCGTTTCATCCCTTCCATCCCAGTCAAATTCACAGGAAATTAAACTTCCTCCTGCATCTCGGAGCAGGCCTCTGCATCATCATTTCTCCTCTGCAAGTGTATCTTCTTCGGGCACGTGGGAAGGTCTTAGTGAACCTGCGGTATTTAGGGACTGGATCCTCTTTCCTCTTTATTGTCAAAGTTGTGGCTTGCCGAGGTCAGGGCAGAGTATGATTATGACATGTTAGCAATCGTCACCTCTCATTTTCAAGTAAATATATTTTTATGCAGTTTGAGCTTTCATTCATGTCATTTATTAATTTGTTCTTTCGTTAACACATTCATTTGTGGAGCATTTGGCCTATAAAAGAGAAGAAACCCTTCCTTAGCATTAAGGTAGGAGATAAAACAAAATGTACAGAGACACATGCTTGGTTTTGTACAACTTTGAAAGTTTCTAAAATAAAATAAGGTCTAACTTGGAAAACCAAAACCAATCACTGAGATATTTTCATAATCTAAAAAGTCAGTTTCAAAAGAACTTCCAAATGTTTTAAAATATGACTATCCTTAAGAATAATGATGTAGCATTCCAAGGTTTTAGTGTTCAACCAGCATTTATTACCACCTGCTGGGTGCCTGAGGCAGGACATTTGTAATGAGAGCTATAAACATGAATTGAAAATCCGCTGCCCATAGGTTCACAGTTCCTGTCAAAGCATAGAGCCCCCTGTAGATAGAGCCCCCTGTATAAGATGTCCTGTGTTCTGGGCGAGAGGATACACTAGGTCTGCAGGTATATCTGGTGGGCAGAACAAGAAAGGTGTCACTGAGGAGGTGCTATTTGAGTTAGTTGTGAAAAATGTGTACGGGTTTATGAGGCAGATATGAGAGGCACTTTGTTGAAGTTACAACTCCTACCAGGCACTCGTTTGAATTTTCTGTTTCATTTGCTCTTTGGAGGTTGCTTGTTGGTACACTTACATCTTCTATGCCAGTCTTAAAAGAGCGGAGTGTGTGTGTGTCTGTGTTTAGTATTTTTTGCAGAGTTTCTTTGTGTTTCCAAGCTTACATTAGAGATGAAGCTTGTCAGAGTTCTCATAACAAATGCGTGATTGAACTAAATTGCAACCTGCTGCCTCTGGCGTTGGAGACTTACAGCACCTCAGTGCATTCATGGGGTGTGCTCTACTCTCTACCTTCGTGATTTATTTAAAGACCAAATCATAATGAATAACAATTCTTAGGCTTAAACCTATCACAGGGGTAGGAAATAGTTCAAACCTTCTGACATACATGAACAAATGCAATCTTCAAAAACTACTGTTTTCTAATCTACATGAATGTACTGAACTCATTGCTACCTTCATTTAAATGTGATGTATCAAAAGTGCTTTGTAAACTGTTAAATTCCAATGTTGACATTGTTATAGATACACTTTATTAAATACTGGATAATGTTTTTATAAAGTACAGGGTTTTTAACTGTTAAATTATTCTAAAATATGTAGAAAAAATTTTGAATAATCTTCCCATTTTGAACACAATGATTGGTTTTAAAATTCCCTTGATTTATATGTTTGTATACTGTGGATTCTCAATTGAGTGAATTAGTGTCTTTGCAATATAGTAAGATTTTGATACAGTTTTTAATCTATCCAGGAAAAGGCTAGATAAGTAGGATCTCATTTGTTTCATAGCCCATTATTTGAAGGATGATTTAAGACCATAGGAAATACTGACTCACCTTTTCTAAAAAGACAACTGCTTTTCTTATTCTTTTAAGTTCAAATTTGTCTTGTCTCCTTTTGATTAATTAAAACAAGTTATCAAAATCCTTAACAGAAAATATTATTTATTGAATCAGAAGAGAAACAAGAAATACTGTGCTTTCTTTGGCGTGTTTCCTATACCCCATTATCATAAGAATTGTTTTTGCTTCTATAATGTTCAGCTTCAAATTCTTTTGCTTTGTCAATCCAAATGAATTACCTGAATTTTCTCCTCTTGTTCAAAATGGAACCACATTCATCCACTTACCCCCAGCCATAGGACTGTTTCTTTTATTCTGATAGTTTGTGATATCTTTGACTTCACAGCAGAAAGCTGTGAGTCTCCCAAACCCCTTCACTGAGGTCCCATGGGGACTGCCCTCTAAGGTCTCTTCAGTCTTCTTTCTTTGAATGTTCATGGCCACCTTGTCGTTTAGACTCTTATCCCTGACTGTATGAGATCCCTCAGGTCTTCCTGCCTGTGGCCATGCCTAATTTATATCCTTCCTAAAATGTGACGTGATCATGTCACTGCCTTGCTTAGAAGCCCTGCACTGGCGTCCAACACGTGCAGAATCAAATGCTTGCTGTTTAACATGGTCTACCCAGTCCTCCAGATTCTGGCTTCCAGTTATTTTCTCAGCCTCAAAAAAACACCTCACTCTCCAAACATATCAAATAGCTTGTGCCCTCCTGCCTCCCATTCACACCTCCATTCCTTCCCCTCTACCTGGATGCTCCTCCCTTCATCCGCCCCCCCGCTGTAAGTTCCCATGGATTGACTGGTGCTTGAGTGTTTTATTGTACTTTGGACCTCCCGTCTCTCACTCCTGGCTTCTGTCTGTCTACCTGTCTTGACCGGCCACTTGAATTGCCTCTGGCTTATCTGCCTCATTCTGGTCGACAGTGTTATTTGTTAGCTTCATATCTACTGGTTTTCTCAATTATTTCTCAGCCTCCCCACACCAGGCTCCTTGCCCCGTATTTATAAGCTGCTATTGGCTTGAGGGTGACTGTGTCTTTCTAATAAAACTATTTTATAGACTGATAGTTACAAGGGTATAGTAGAACAGAAATGAATCTACCTTTGAGTGTATTTCAACATATCTAGTGATCCATGAATATTTCTTATTATTATCATTATTGTTATTTTTAAATAGACAATCAGGAAGGCAGAGTTTAGGCCACCAATGTAAACTTAGGCTTTCATCTTCATGAAGATATTTGGGATCACTGCAAGTATTCTGAATTTTAAATGGCATTCAATCATTTGATAAAATAGAAATTTTGTTACTCTGAACTGGGTAGTGTTTCAGCAACTGGCTACTGTGTCATTATTTCTATAAATTCAAAATGTAGAAGGAACATTTACCTTTTAACAAGGGAGTATCCCAGGTCTCAGTTCTCAACCGTTTTTCTAGGTGCACTCATGCCTCTATGATCTCATGAAGCCCAATAGCATTAAATTCTATGTATATGTGCATGGTCCATGAACACATATTTCCAGCTCCTACCTCTCCTCTAAAATTTAGACTCATATCTAATTATCTACCAATTATCACCACTTGGAAGACTAACAGACAACTCAACTATCACACATCCATAAAGGGATTCTTGATCCTTCACCTTCAACCCCTGGGCCCAACACTCCTCAGTCGTCTCCGTCTCAGTAAATAGCACCTCCAGCGTACCAGCCGTTAGGACAGTAAACTTGCCTTGACCCCACTTTGTTTCTTGCACCTCGTATCAGCATACACTGTTGAACTGTATTAAGAATCTGAGCTTCCCTTGCCACACCCATTGTGTACAACCTGCTTCACTTTACGTCATTGCTTTCATGGATTACCAAAATAGCCTCCTAACTCCTTTCCCACTTTCTCTTTCTCCTTGTACTTTGTTCTTCACTGAGCACCAGAGTAAGTCTTTATTTTATTTTTTATTTTTTTTTTTGAGACAGAGTCTCCTCTGTCGCCCAGGCTGGAGTGCAGTGGTGCAATCTGGGTTGACTACAACCTCTACCTCCTGGGTTCAAGTGATTCTCCTGCCTCAGCCTCCCAAGTAGCTGGGATTACAGGCATGCACCACCAAGCCTGGCTAATTTTTTGTGTTTTTAATAGAGATGAGGTTTTGCCATGTTGGCCAGGCAGGTCTCGAACTCCTGACCTCAGGTGATCCAGAGTAAGTCTTTTTAAAGCATAAGGAAAATAATGTTTTCATCTGCTTAAAACCTTCCATGGCTAGGAATGTTTTAAACCATCTTGTCCCCTGACACTTCTCTGATGTCTAGTCCAATCAGTCTCTCCTGTATTATTGCAATCTTCAAAGACACCAGACAGATGTGCTTCTGCCTCAGGGCCTTTGCATGTGTGGTCCCCTTTGCCTGGAATGCTTTCTCATCAGGAATCAGGATGGCTTACTTCCTCTCTTTTTTATTTTTATTTTATTTTATTTTATTATTATTATACTTTAAGTTTTAGGGTACATGTGCACAACGTGAAGGTTTGTTACATATGTATACATGTGCCATGTTGGTGTGCTGCACCCATTAACTCGTCATTTAGCATTAGCTATATCTCCTAATGCTATCCCTGCCCCCTTCCCCCAACCCACAACAGTCCCTGGTGTGTGATGTTCCCCTTCCTGTGTCCATGTTTTCTCATTGTTCAATTCCCACCTATGAGTGAGAACATGTGGTGTTTGGTTTTCTGTTCTTGCGATAGTTTGCTGAGAATGATGGTTTCCAGTTTCATCCATGTCCCTACAAAGGACATGAACTCATCATTTTTTATGGCTACATAGTATTCAGTGGTGTATATGTGCCACATTTTCTTAATCCAGTCTATCATTGTTGGACATTTGGGTTGGTTCCAAGTCTTTGCTATTGTGAATAGTGCCACAATAAACATACGTGTGCATGTGTCTTTATAGCAGCATGATTTATAAACCTTTGGGTATATACCCAGTAATGGGATGGCTGGGTCAAATGGTATTTCTAGTTCTAGATCCTTGAGGAATCACCACAGTGACTTCCACAATGGTTGAACTAGTTTACAGTCCCACCAACAGTGTAAAAGTGTTCCTATTTCTCCACATCCTCCCCAGCACCTGTTGTTTCCTGACTTTTTAATGATTGCCATTCTAACTGGTGTGAGATGGTATCTCATTGTGGTTTTGATTTGCATTTCTCTGATGGCCAGTGATGATGAGCATCCTTTCATGTGTCTTTTGGCTGCATAAATGTCTTCTTTTGAGAAGTGTCTGTTCATATCCTTTGTCCACTTTTTGATGGGGTTGTTTGTTTTTTTCTTGTAAATTTGTTTGAGTTCATTGTAGATTCTGGATATTAGCCCTTTGTCAGATGAGTAGGTTGCAAAAATTTTCTCCCATTTTATAGGTTGCCTGTTCAGTCTGATGGTAGTTTCTTTTGCTGTGCAGAAGCTCTTTAGTTTAATTAGGTCCCATTTGTCAATTTTGGTTTTTGTTGCCATTGCTTTTGGTGTTTTAGACATGAAGTCCTTGCCCATGCCTATGTCCTGAATGGTATTGCCTAGGTTTCCTTCTAGGGTTTAGGCTCATAATAAAGGGATGGAGGAAGATCTACCAGGAAAATGGAAAACAAAAAAAGGCAGGGTTTGCAATCCTAGTCTCTGATAAAACAGACTTTAAACCAACAAAGATAAAAAGAGACAAAGAAGGCCATTACATAATGGTAAAGGGATCAATTCAACAAGAAGAGCTAACTATCCTAAACATATATGCATCCAATACAGGAGCACCCGGATTCATAAAGCAAGTCCTGACTGACCTACAAAGAGAGTTAGACTCCCACACAATAATAATGGGAGACTTTAATACCCCACTGTCAACACTGGACAGATCAAAGAGACAGAAAATTAGCAAGGATACCCAGGAATTGAACTCAGCTCTGCACCAAGCAGACATAATAGACATCTACAGAACTCTCCACCCCAAATCAACAGAATATACATTTTTTTCAGCACCACACCACACCTATTCCAAAATTGACCACATAGTTGGAAGTAAAGCTCTCCTCAGCAAATGTAAAAGAACAGAAATTATAGCAAACTGTCTCTCAGACCACAGTGCAATCAAACTAGAACTCAGGATTAAGAAACTCCCTCAAAACCGCTCAACTACATGGAAATTGAAAAACCTGCTCCTGAATGACTACTGGGTACATAACGAAATGAAGGCAGAAATAAAGATGTTCTTTGAAACCAATGAGAACAAAGACACAACATACCAGAATCTCTGAGACACATTTAAAGCAGTGTGTAGAGGGAAATTTATAAAACTGAATGCCCACAAGAGAATGCAGGAAAGATCCAAAATTGACACCCTAACATCACAATTAAAAGAACTAGAGAATCAAGAGCAAACACATTCAAAAGCTAGCAGAAGGCAAGAAATAACTAAAATCAGAGCAGAACTGAAGGAAATAGAGACACAAAGTTTGTCCCCCTTAGGGAGGGACAAACTTTCAAACAACAGCGAGAGTGTTCTGAAATCCTCTGTTATAGACAAACATTCAGCGCCTCGTCCCTGTTTTCTGGAAATCTACGTAAGGGAGAAACACTCAGAATCCAGCAACAGTGTCTTGGAATCGTATGTTACGGACATACATGTAGACCCCAGCAGCAGTGTTCTGGGATCCTATGTGAGGGACAAACATTCAGACAATCGTAGCAGTGTTGTGGAATCCTACTTGAGGGGCAAACATTCAGACCCCAGCAGCAGTGTTCTGGAATCCTATGTGAGGAAGGAACACTGAGAACATAGCAGGAGTGTTTTGGAATCCTACGAGAGGGAAAAACAATCAGACCCTTGTGGCAGTGTTCTGGAATCCCATGTGAGGTACAAACATTAAGCCCACAACAGGGGTGTTCTGCAGTCCTGCGTGAGGGACAAACTTTCTGACCCAAGCAGCAGTGTTCTGGAATCCTATATGAGGGACAAACATTCAAACAGCTGTGGGAGTGTTCTGGAATCCCATGTTAGGGACAAACATTAAGACCCTCGTCGCAGTGTTCTGGAATTCTATGTGAGTGACAAACACTCAGAACCCGGCAACAGTGTTCTGGAATCCTATGTGACGGGCATACATGTAGACCCCAGAAGCAGTGTTCTGGAATCCTATGTGAAGAACAAACATTCAGACAATTGTAGCAGTGTTCTTTAATTCCATTTGAGGGACAAACATTCAGACCCTCATAGTATTGTTCTGGAATCCTACGTGAGCGACAAACATTCAGACAATCGTAGCAGTGTTCTGGGATACTATGTGTGGGACAAACATTCAGACACCAGCAGCAGTGTTCTGGAATCCTATGTGAGGGACAAAGATTCAGACCCTCAAAGAAGTGTTCTGGAATCCTATGTGAGTGACAAACATTCAGACAATCGTAGCAGTGTCCCGGAATACTATGTGTGGGACAAACAACCAGACACCAGCGGTAGTGTTCTTGAATCCTATGTTATGGACAAACATTCAGACCCTTATCACAGTGTTCTGGAATTCCATGTGAGGGAGAAACACTTATAACCCAGCAGCAGTGTTCTGGAATCCTATGTGACGGACATACATATAGACCCCAGAAGAAGTGTTCTGGAATCCTATGTGAGGGACAATCATTCAGACCCTTGTAGCAGTGTTCTGGAATTCTGTGTGAGGGACAAACATTCTGGCCACAGCAGGACTGTTCTGGAATCCGCTATGAGGAACAAACATTCAGGACCTTGTAGCAGTGTAGTGGAATCAGATGTGACTGACAAATATTTAGACCCCAGAAGCAGTGTTCTGGAGTCCTGTGTGAGGGACAAACATTCAGAACCTCTTAGCAGTGTTCTGGAATCCTAAGTGAGAGACAAACACTCAGAACACAGCAGCAGTGTTCTGGTACCCTATGTGAGGAACAAACATTCAGATCACAGCAGGATTGTTATGGAATCCTATGTGAGGGACAAACACTCAGAACACAGCTGGAGTGTTTTGCAATGTTATGTGAGACACAAATATTCAGACCCTCGTAGCAGTGTTCTGGAATCCTATGTGAGGGACAAACATTCAGACCCCAGCAGCAGTGTTCTGGAATCCTATGTGAGGGAAAAACATTCAAACCCTCGTAGCAGTGTTGGGGAATCCTATGTGAGGGAAAAACTTTCAAAGAGTCGTAGCAGTGTTCTGGAATCCTATGTTACGGACAAACGTTCAGACTCTCGTTGCAGTGTTCTGGAATTCTATGTGAGGGACAAACACTCAGAATCCAGCAGAAGTGTTCTGGAATCCGGTGTGATGGACATACATGTAGACCCCAGCAGCAGTGTTCTGGAATCCTATGTGAGGGACAATCATTCAGAAACTCGTAGCAGTGTTCTGGAATTCTGTTTGAGGGACAAACGTTCAAACCCTCGTAGCAGTGTTCTGGAAACCTGTGTGAGGGACAAACATTGAGACTACATCAGGAGTGATCTGGAATCCCCTTTGAGGAACAAGTGTTCATACTCTCTTATTAGTGTTCTGCAATTCTATGTGAAGAACAAAAATTTAGACCCCAGCAGCAGTGTTCTGTAATCTTATGTGAGGCACAATCATCCAGACCCTCATTGCAGTGTACTGGAATCCTATATGAGGGATAAACAATCGTAGCAGTGTTCTGGAATTCTTTGAGTGGGACAAACATTCAGAACCCAGGAGCAGTGTTCTGGAAACTTAAGTGAGTAACAAACATTCAGACCACGGCTGGTTTGTTCTGGAATCCCCTGTGAGGGACAAACATTCAGACCACTGCAGGATTGTTCAGGAATCCTATCTGAGGGACAAACATGCAGACCCTCACAGCAGTGTTCTGGAATCCTATATGAGGAATAAGCATTCAGACCATCGTAGCAGTGTTCTGGAATTCTGTGTGAGAGACAAACATTCAGACCCAAGAAGCAGTATTCTGCAATCCTACGTGAGAGAAAAACATTCTAACAACAGCTGGAGTGTTCTGGAATCCTATGTTACGGACAAACATTAGACCCCCGTCGCAGTCTTCTGCAAATCTATATGAGGGAGAAACACTCAGAACCCAGCAGTAGTGTTCTGGAATCCTATGTGACTGACATACATGTAGACCCAGCAGTAGCGTTCTGGAATCCTATGGGAAGGAAAAACATTCAGACCCCAGCATCAGTGTTCTGCAATCCTATGGGAGGGACAATCATTCAGACCCTCGTAGCAGTGTGCAGGAATTCTGTGTGAGAATCAAACCTTCAGACCCTCATAGCAGTGTTCTGGAATCGTATGTGAGGAACAAACATTCAGACCCTCATAGGAGTGTTCTGGAATCCTGTGTGAGGTACAATCATTCAGACCCTCGTCACAGTGTTCTGTAATTCTATGTGAGGGAGAAACACTCAGAACCCAGGGGCAGGGTTCTGTAATCCTATGTGAGGGACAAACATTCAGACCTCAGCAGCGGTGTCTGGAATGCTATGTGAGGGAAAATCATTCAGACCCTCATAGCAGTGTTCTGGAATTCTGTGTGAGGGACAAAAATTCAGATCCTCATAGCAGTGTTCTGGAATCCTGTGTGAGGGACAAACATTGACAACACAACAGGATTGTTCTGGAATCCCCTGTAAGGAACAAACATTCAGAACCTCGTGGCAGTGTTCTGGAATCCTATGTGACGGACAAACACTTAGACCCCAACAGCAGTGTTCTGGAATGCTATGTGAGGGACAAACATTCAGACCCTTCCGGTAGTGTTATGAAATCCTATGTGAGGAAAAAACACTCAGAACCCAGCAGCAGTGTTCTGGAACCCTATGTGAGGGAACAACTTTCAGACCACAGCAGGATTGTTCTGGAATCCTGTGTAAGGGATAAACACTCAGAGCATGGCAGGAGTGTTTTGGAATCCTATGTGAGGGACAAACATTCAGACCCTAGTTGCAGTGTTCTGGAATCCAATGTGAGTGTCAAACAGTCAAACAACAGGGGTAGTGTTCCATAATCCTATGTTACAGACAAACATTCAGACCCTCGTTGCAGTATTCAGGAATCCTATGTTAGGGAAACACATTCAGACCCTCGTAGCACTGATCTGGAATCCTATGTGAGTGACAAACATTCAGACAATCATAGCAGTATTCTGGAATCCTCTGTGAGGGACAAACACCCAGACCCTCGTAGGATTTTTCTGGAATCCTATGTGAGGGACAAACATTCAGATAATCGTAGCAGTGTTCTGGAATCCTATGTGAGGAACATTCAGACCCCAGTAGCAGTGTTCTGGAATCCTATGTGAGGGACAAACATTCAAACAATAGCGAGAGTGTTCTGGAATGTTACGTTATGGAGAAACATTCAGACCCTCTTAGCAGTATTCTGGAATTCTATGTGAGGGAGAAACATTCACAACCCAGCAGCAGTGATCTGGAATCCTGTGTGACGGCCATACATGTAGACCCCAGCAGCAGTGTTCTGGAATCCTATGTGAGGGACAAACATTCAGACCCTAGCAGCAGTGTTTTGGAATCCTATGTGTGTGACAAATATTCAGACCCTTGTAGCAGTGTTCCGGAATCCTATGTGAGGGACAGACACTGAGAATCTAGCAGCAGTGTTCTGCAACCCTATGTGAGGTACAGACATTCAGACTACAGCAGGAGTGTTCTGGAATCCTATGTGAGTGACAAACACTCAGACCCCAGTAGCAGTGTTCTGGAATCCTGTGTGAGGAACAAACATTCAAACAACAGCGAGAGTGTTCTGGAATGCTACGTTACGGAGAAACATTCAGACCCTTGTCGCAGTTTTCTGGAATTCTATGTAAGGGAGAAACACTCAGAATCCAGCAGCAGTGATCTGAAATCCTATGTGACAGCCATACATGTAGACCCCAGCAGCAGTGTTCTGTAGTCCTATGTGGGGGGCAAACATTCAGACGACAGCAGCAGTGTTCTGCAGTCCTCTGTGAGGGACAAACATTCAGACCCTAGGAGCAGTGTTTTGGAATCCTATGTGTGTGACAAATATTCAGACCCTTGTAGCAGTGTTCCAGAATCCTATGTGAGGGACAAACACAGAGAATCTGGCAGCAGTGTTCTGCAACCCTATGTGATGGACAAACTTTCAGACAGTCGTTCAGTGTTCTGGAATCCTACGTGAGGAATGAACATTCCGACGCTCGTATCACTGTTTCGGATCCCAAGTGACGGAGAAACATTCAGACCACAGCAGAGTGTTCTGGAATCCACAGTGAAGGACAAACTTTCAGACCCTCTTTGCAGTGTTCTGGAATCCTACAGAGTGACAAACATTCAGACAATCGTAGCAGTGTTCTGGAATCCTCTGTAAGGAAAAGTCTTTCAGACTCAAGCAGCAGTGTTCTGGAATCCTATGTGAGGGACAAACATTCAAACAACAGCGGGAGTCTTCTGGAAGCCTATGTTACCGACAGACATTCAGATCCCGTCGCAGTCTTCTGGAATTCTATGTGAGGGATGAGCACTCAGAATCCTGCAGCATTGTTCTGGGATCCCATGTGACAGAAATACATATAGACCCATGCAGCCGTGTTCTGGAATCCTATGTGAGGGACAAACATTCAGAACCCAGAAACAGTGTTCTGGAGTCCCATGTGAGGGACAATCATTCAGACCATCGTAACTGTGTTCTGGAATTCTGTGTGAGGGACAAACATTCAGACCCTTGTAGCAGTGTTCTGGAATCCTGTGTGAGGGACACACATTCAGAACACAGCAGGAGGTTTCTGAAATCCCCTGTGAGGAGCAAATATTCAGAATCTCGTATCAGTGTTCTGGAATCCTATGTGATGGACATACCTGTGGACCCCAGCAACAGTGTTCTGGAATCCTACGTGAGGGACAATCATTCAGACCCTCATAGCAGTGTTCTGGAATTCTGTGTGAGGGACAAAAATTCAGATCCTCACAGCAGTGTTCTGGAATCCTGTGTGAGGGACAAACATTGACAACACAACAGGATTGTTCTGGAATCCCCTGTAAGGAACAAACATTCAGAACCTCGTGGCAGTGTTCTGGAATCCTATGTGACGGACAAACACTTAGACCCCAACAGCAGTGTTCTGGAATGCTATGTGAGGAACAAACATTCAGACCCTTCCGGTAGTGTTATGAAATCCTATGTGAGGAAAAAACACTCAGAACCCAGCAGCAGTGTTCTGGAACCCTATGTAAGGGAACAACTTTCAGACCACAGCAGGATTGTTCTGGCATCCTGTGTAAGGGATAAACACTCAGAGCATGGCAGGAGTGTTTTGGAATCCTATGTGAGGGACAAACATTCAGACCCTAGTTGCAGTGTTCTGGAATCTAATGTGAGGGACAAACATTGAAACAACAGGGGTAGTTTTCCGTAATCCTATGTTACAGACAAACATTTAGACCCTCGTTGCAGTATTCAGGAATCTTAAGTTAGGGAAAAACATTCAGAACCTCATAGCACTGCTCTGGAATCCTATGTGAGTGACAAACATTCAGACAATCATAATAGTGTTCTGGAATCCTCTGTGAGGGACAAACATCCAGACACTTGTAGAGGATTCTTCTGGAATCCTATATGAGGGACAAACATTCAGACAATCGTAACAGTGTTCTGGAATCCTATGGGAGGGACAAAAACTCCGCCCCCAGTAGCAGTGCACTGGAATCCTATGTGAGGGACAAACATTCAAACAACAGCAAGATTGTTGTGGGATGCTACGTTACAGAGAAACATTATGACCCTCGTCGCAGTGTTCTGGAATTCTATGTGAGGGAGAAACATACAGAACCCAGCAGCAGTGATCTGGAATCCTATGTGACGGCCATACATGTAGACCCCAGCAGCAGTGTTCTGGAATCCTATGTGAGGGACAAACATTCAGACCCTAGCAGCAGTGTTTTGGAATCCTATGTGTGTGACAAATATTCAGACCCTTGTAGCAGTGTTCCGGAATCCTATGTGAGGGACAAACACTGAGAATCTAGCAGCAGTGTTCTGCAACCCTATGTGAGGGACAGACCTTCAGACCACAGCAGGAGTGTTCTGGAATCCTATGTGAGGGACAATCACTCAGACAATCGTAGCAGTGTTGGGGAATCCTAAGTGAGGGACGAAAATTCAGACCATCGTATCACTGTTCTGGATCCGAAGTGAGGGATAAATATTCAGACCACAGCAGAGTGTTCTGGAATCCACAGTGAGGGACAAACTTTCAGACCTTCTTTGCAGTGTTCTGGAATCCTACAGAGTGACAAACATTCAGACAATCGTAACAGTGTTCTGGAATCCTGTGTGAAGGAAAAACCTTCAGACTCAAGCAGCAGTGTTCTGGAATTCTATGTGAGAAACAAACATTCAAACAACAGCGGGAGTCTTCTGCAATCCTATGTTACGGACAAACATTCAGACCCTCGTCGCAGTTTTCTGGAGTTCTATGTGAGGGAGGAAGACTCAGAATCCTGCAGCATTGTTCTGGAATCCCATGTGACAGACATACATGTAGAGCCCTGCAGCCATCTTCTGGAATCCTACGTGAGGGACAAACATTCAGAACCCAGCAACAGTGTTCTGGAGTCCCATGTGAGGGACAATCATTCAGACCATTATAGCAGTGTTCTGGAATTCTGTGTGAGGGACAAACATTCTGACCCTTGTAGCTGTGTTCTGGAATCCTGTGTGAGGGACAAACATTCAGAACACAGCAGGAGGTTTCTGGAATCCCCTGTGAGGAGCAAATATTCAGAACCTCGTATCAGTGTTCTGGAATCCTATGTGATGGACGTACCTGTAGACCCCAGCAGCAGTGTTCTGGAATCCTACGTGAGGGACAATCATTCAAACCCTCATAGCAGTGTTCTGGAATCCTATGTGATGGACAAACATTTAGACGCCAGCAGCAGTATTCTGGAATCCTAGGTTTGGGACAAACACTGAGAACCTACTAGCAGTGTTCTGGAACCATATGAGAGGGACCAACGTTGAGACCCTCATAGGAGTGTTCTGGAATCCTGTGTGATGGATAAATATTCACAACACAAGAGGAGTGTTCTGGAATCCCCAGTAAGGAACAAACATTCAGAACCTCGTGGCAGTGTTCTGGAATCCTATGTGAAGGACAAACATTCAAACTACAGCGAGAGTGTTCCGGAATACTACTTTATGGAGAAACATTCAGGCTCTCGTCGCAGTGTTCTGGAATTCTATGTGAGGGAGATACATTCAGAACCCAGCAGCAGTGATCTGGAATCCTATGTGACAGCCATACATGTAGACCCCAGTAGCAGTGTTCTGGAATCCTGTGTGAGGGACAAACACTGAGACCCCAGCAGCAGTGTTTTGGAATCCTATGTGTGTGACAAATATTCAGACCCTTGTAGCAGTGTTCCAGAATCCTATGTGAGGGACAAACACTGACAATCTAGAAACAGTGTTCTGCAATCCTATAAGAGGGACAGACATTCAGACCACAACAGGAGTGTTCTGGAATCCTATGTGAGGGACAAACATTCAGACCCTCGTATCACTGTTCTGGATCCTAAGTGAGGGACAAACTTTCAGACAATCGTAGCAGTGTTCTAGAGTCCTAAGAGAGGAACGAACATTCAGACCCTCGTATCACTGTTCTGGATCCTAAGTGAGGGACAAACATTCAGACCACAGCAGAGTGTTTTGGAATCCACAGTGAGAGACAAACTTTCAGACCCTCGTTGCAGTGTTCTGGAATCCTATGGAGTGACAAACATTCAGACAATCATAGCAGTGTTCTGGAATCCTGTGTGAAGAAAAAACTTTCAGACTCAAGCAGCAGTGTTCTGGAATCCTATGTGAGGGACAAACATTCAAGCAACAGCGGGAGTCTTCTGGAATCCTACGTGAGGGACAAACATTCAAACAACAGCGGGAGTCTTCTGGAATCCTATGTTATGGACAAACATTCAGATCCTCGTCGCAGTCTTCTGGAATTCTTTGTGAGGGAGGAACACTCAGAATCCTGCAGCATTGTTCTGGAATACCATGTGACGGACATACCTGTAGAACCCTGAAGCCGTGTCATGGAATCCTATGTGAGGGACAAACATTCAGAACCCAGCAGCAGTGTTCTGGAGTCCCATGTGAGGGACAATCATTCAGACCATCGTAGCAGTGTTCTGGAATTCTGTGTGAGGGACAAACCTTCAGACCCTTGTAGCAGTGTTCTGGAATCCTAAGTGACGGACAAACATTTAGACCTCAGCAAAAGTATTCCGGAATCCTATGTGAGTTACAAACATTGAAACAACAGCGGGAGTGTTCTGGAATCCTTTATTGCAAACAAACTTTCAGAACCTCGTCGCAGTGCTCTGGAGTTCTATGTGAGGGAGAAAGACTCAGAACCCAGCAGCAGTGCTCCGGAATCCTATGTGACAGACACACATGTATACCCCAGCAGCAGTGGTATGGAATCCTATGTGAGGGACAAACATTCAGACCAAGACAGCATTGTTATGGAAAACTATGTGAGGAAAAATCATTCAGACTCTCATAGCAGTGTTCTGGGATTCTGTGTGAGGAACAAACATTGAGACCCTCGAATGTGTGTTCTGGAATCCTATGTGAGGGGAAAACATTCAGGCCACGGTAGCAGTGTTCTGGAATCCTATGTGAGAGACAAACATTCAGAAACTCATAGCAGTGTTCCGGAATCCCATGTGAGGGACAACCAGTCTGACAATCGTAGAAGTGTTCTGGAATCCTACATGACTGTCATACATGTAGACCCCAGCAGCAGTGTTCTGGAATCCTATGTGAGAGACAAACATTCAGACTCCAGCAGCAGTGTTTTGGCATCCTATGTGAGGGACAATCATTCAGACCCTCTTAGCAGTGTTCTGGAATTATGAGTGAGGGACAAACATTCAGACGCCTGCAGCAGTGTTCTGGAATCCTGTGTGAGGGACAAACATTCAGACCACAGCAGGATTGTTCTGGAATCCGATGTGAGGAAAAATCTTTCAGACCCTCTTAACATTGTTCAGGAATCCCATGTGAGGGACAAACATTGAGACCACAGCAGTAGTGTTCTTTAATCCTATGTGAGGGACAAATATTCAGACCCTCATAGCAGTGTTCTGGAATCCTATGTGAGGGACAAACATTGAGAGAATCGTGGCAGTGTTCTGGAATCCTACGTGAGGGAGAAACATTCAGACCGCAGCAGCTGTGTTCTGGAATCCTATGTAAGGGACAATCATTCAGACCCTCATAGCAGTGTTCTGGAATTCTGTGTGATTGACAAAGTTTCAGAACCTCGTAGCAGTGTTCTGGAATCCTATATGAGGGACACACATTCAGATCCCAGCAGCAGTGTTCTGGAATCCTATTTGAGGGACAATCATTCAGATCCTCATAGCAGTGTTCTGGATTCTGGGTCAGGGACAAACGTTCATACCCTCGTGTCATTATTCTGGAATCCTGTGTGAGGAAAAAACATTCAGACAACAGCAGGATTGTTGTGGAATGCCCGGTGAGGAACAAACATTCAGACCCTCGTAGCAGTGTTCTGGAATCCTATGTGACTGACAAACATTTAGACAACAGCAGCAGTGTTCTGGAATCCTATGTGAGGGACAATCATTCAAACAACAGCGGGAGTGTTCTGGAATCCTATGTTTAGGAAAATCATTCAGACCCTCGTCGCAGTGTACTGGAATTCTATGTGAGGGCAAACATTCAGACCACAGCAGTAGTGTTCTGGTATCCTACGTGAGGGACAAACATTCAGACCCTCATAGAAGTGTTCAGGAATCCTATGTGAGGAACAAACATTCAGACCACAGCAGGAGTGTTCTGCAATCCCCTGTGAGGAAGAAACATTCATACCCTCGTAATGGTCTTCTGGAATCCTATGTGATGGGCAAACATTTAGATCACAGCAGCAGTGTCCTGGAATCCTATGTGAGGGACAATCATTCAGACACTCGTAACATTGTTCTGGAATCCTAAGTGAGGGACAAAAATTCAGACAATCCTAGCAGTGTTCTGGAAACCTATGTGTGGGCCAAACATTCGGACCCCAGGGACAGTGTTCTGCAATCCTATGTGAGGGAAAAACATTCAAACAACTGCGGGATTGTTCTGACATCCTATATTATGGACAAAGATTCCGACACTCTTCACAGTGATCTGGAGTTATATGTGAGTGAGAAACACTCAGATCCCAGCAGCAGTGTTCTAGAATCCCATGTGATGGACATACATGTAGACCCCAGCGGAAGTGTTCCAGAATCCTATGTGAGAGACAAAGATTCAGACCCGAGAAGCAGTGTTCTGCAATCCTATGTGAGTGACAATCATTCAGAAATTCGTAACAGTGTTCTGGAATTCTGTGTGTGGGAGAATCATTCAGTCCCTCATAGCAGTGTTCTGGAATTCTGTGTGAGGGAAAAACATTCAGACCCTCGTAGCAGTGTTCTGAAATCCTTTGTGAGGGACATTCAGACAACAGCAGTAGTGTTCTGGAATCCTCTGTGAGGAACAAACGTTTAGACAGTCGTAGCAGTGTTCTGGAATCCTACGTGACAAACTTTTAGACCCCAGCAGCAGTGTTCTGGAATCCTATGCGAGGGACAAACATTCAGACAATGGTAACAGTGTTCTGGAATCCTATGTGAGGGACAAACACTCAAAACCCAGCAGCAGTATTCTTGAATGCTATGTGAGGGACAAACTTTCAGACCACAGCAGGAGTGTTCTGGAATCCTATGTGAGGGACAATCATACAGACCCTCGTAGCAGTGTTCTGGAATTCTGTGTGAGAGACAAACATTCAGACCCTCGTAGCGGTGTTCTGGAATCCAATGTGACGGACAAAAATTCAGACCACCACAGGAGTGTTCTGGAATCCTCTGTGAGGGAGAAACATTCAGAACCTAGTAGCAGTGTTCTGGAATCCTATGTGAGGAATAAACACTCGGAACCAAGCAGCAGTGTTCTGGAAAACTATGTAATAGACAAACATTCAGACCAGAGTAGGATTGCTCTGGAATCCTATGTGTTGGACACACATTCAGAACACAGCAGGAGTGTTTTGGAATCCTATGTGAGGGACAAACATACAGACCCTCGTAGCAGTGTTCTGGAATCCAATGTGATTGACAAATATTCAGAACACAGCAGGAGTGTTTTGGAATCCTATGTGAGGGACAAACATACAGACCCTTGTAGCAGTGTTCTGGAATCCAATGTGATTGACAAATATTCAGACCACAGCAAGAGTGTTGTGGAAACTACTGTGAGGAACAAACATTGAGATCCACGTAGCAGTGTTCTGGAATCCTATGTGAGGGACAAACATTTAGACTCCAGCAGGAGTGTTCTGGAATCCCAAGTGTGGTACGAACATTCAGACCATCGTAGCCGTGTTCTGATACTCTATGTGAAGGACAAACTTTCAGACAATAGTAGGAGTGTTCTGGTATCCTAAGTGAGGGACAAACATAAGAGCCCAGCAGCAGTGTTCTGGAATCCTATGTGATGGACAATCATTCCGAACCTCGTAGCAGTGTTCTGGAATTCTCTTTGAGGGACAAATATTCAGACACTCGTAGTAGTATTCTGGAATCCTGTGTGAGGGACAAACATTCAGACGACAGCAGGAGTGTTCTGGAATACCTCGTGAGAAACGAACATGCAGACCCTCGTAGCAGTGTTCTGGAATCCTTTGTGACAGAAAAACATTTTTACCCCAGCGGTAGTGTTCCGGAATCCTACGTGAGGGACAATCATTCAGACCCTCGTAGCAGTGTTCTGGAACCCTATGTGAGGGACAAATACTCAGACCCCAGCAGTAGTGTTTTCGAATCATATGTGTGGGACAAACATTGAAACAACAGCACTAGTGTCCTGGAATCATATGTTTCATGCAAACATTCAGACCCTCGTTGCAATGCTCTGGAATTCTGTGGGGAAAAGCAAGAGAGATCAGATTGTTACTGTGTCTGTGTAGAAAGAAGTAGACATAGGAGACTCCATTTTGTTCTGTACTAAGAAAAATTATTCTGCCTTGAGATTCTGTTAATCTATGACCTTACCCCCAACCCCGTGCTCTCTGAAATATGTGCTGTGTCAAACTCAGGGTTAAATGGATTAAGTGTTGTGCAAGATGTGCTTTGTTAAACAGTTGCTTGAAGGCAGCATGCTCCTTAAGAGTCATCACTACTCCCTAATCTCAAGTACCCAGGGACACAAAAACTGCGGAAGGCCGCAGGGACCTCTGCCTAGGAAAGCCAGGTATTGTCCAAGGTATATCCCCATGGGATAGTCTGAAATATGGCCTTATGGGAAGGGAAAGACCTGACCGTCCCCCAGCCCGACACCCGTAAATGGTCTGTGCTGAGGAGGATTAGTATAAGAGGAAGGCATGCCTCTTGCAGTTGAGACAAGAGGAAGGCATCTGTCTCCTGCCCGTCCATGGGCAATGGAATGTCTCGGTATAAAACCCGATTGTACGTCCCATCTACTGAGATAGGGAAAAACCGCCTTAGGGCTGGAGGTGGGACATGCGGGCAGCAATACTGCTTTGTAAAGCATTGAGATGTTTATGTGTATGCATATCTAAAAGCACAGCACTTGATTCTTTACCTTGTCTATGATGCAAAGACCTTTGTTCACGTGTTTGTCTGCTGACCCTATCCCCACTATTGTCTTGTGACCCTGACACATCACCCTCTCGGAGAAACACCCACAAATGATCAATAAATACTAAGGGAACTCAGAGGCTGACGGGATCCTCCATATGCTGAACGCTGGTTCCCTGGGTCCCCTTATTTCTTTCTCTATATTTTGTCTCTGTGTCTTTTTCTTTTCCATGTCTCTCATTCCACCTAACAAGAAAAACCCACAGGTGTGGAGGGGCAACCCACCCCTTCAGAATTCTATGTGAGGGAGAAAATTCAGACCCCAGCAGCAGTGTTCTGGAATCCGACGTGAGGGACAATCACTCAGACACTCGTATCAGTGTTCTGCAATTCTGTGTGAGGACGAACATTCAGACCACAACAGGGATGTTCTGGAATCCTATGTGAGGGACAAACATTCGGACCCCAGATGTAGTGTTTTCGAATACTATGTGTGGGACAAACATTCAAACAACGGCGGGAGAATTATGGAATTCTATGTTTCGGACAAACATTCAGACCCTCGTAGCATTGTTCTGGAATCCTATGTGACGGACTAACATTTAGACCCTGCAGCAGTGTTCTGGAAACCTATGTGATGGACATGCATGTAGACCCCAGCAACAGTGTTCTGGAATCCTATGTGATTGACAAATGTTCAGACCCCCGCAGCAGTGTTCTGGAATCCTATGTGATTTGCAATCATTCAGACCCTCATAGCAGTGCTCTGGAATTCTGTGTGAGGGACAAGCATTCAGACCCTCTTAGAAGTTTTCTGGAATCCTATGTGAGGGACAAACATTCAGACCCCTGCAGCAGTGTTCTGGCATCGATGTAAGGGACAATCATTCAGACCCACACAGCACTGTTCTGGAATTCTGCTTCAGGGCCAACATTCAGACCACAAAAGGAGTGTTCTGGAATCACCTGTGAGGAACAAACTTTCAGAACCCCGTAGCAGTGTTCTGGAATCCTATGTGTCAGACAAACATTTAAACCCCAGCAACAGTGTTCTGGAATCTTATGTGAGGGAGAAATATTCAGACAATCGTAGCAGTGTTCTGGAATCCTGTGTAAGGGACAAACTTTCTGATCCAAGCAGCAGTGTTCTGGAATCCTATGTGAGGGACAAACATTCAAACAACAGCGGGAGTGTTCTGGAATCCTATGTTACAGACAAACATTCAGGTTCTCGTCACAGTGTTCTAGAATTCTCTGTGAGGGAGAAACACTCAGAACCCAGCTGCAGTGTTCTGGAATCCTATGTAGTGGACATACATGTAGACCCCAGAAGCAGTGCTGTGGAATGCTGCGTGAGGAACAATCATTCAGACCCCAGCAGCAGTGTTCTGGAATATTGCTTGAGGGACAATCATTCAGACCCTCGTAGCAGTGTTCTGGAGTCCAGTGTGAGGGACAAATATTCAGATCACAACAGGAGTATTCTGGAATCCCCTATGAAGAACAAACATTCAGGCTATCGTAGCAGTGTTCTGGAATCCTATGTGACTGACAAACATTGAGACCCCAGCAGCAGTGTTCTGGAGTGCTACGTGAGGGACAAACATTCAGACACTAGTAGCAGTGTTCTGGAATCCTATGTGAGGGACAAACACTAAGAACCCAGCAGCATTTTTCTGGGTCCCTATGTGAGGGACAAATACTCGGAACACAGCTTCAGTGTTTTGCCATTTTATGTGAGGGACAAACATTCAGACCCTCATAGAAGTGTTCTGGAATCCTATGTGAGGGACAAACTTTCCGACAATTATAACAGAGTTCTGTAATCCTACGTTAAGGACAAATATTCAGACACTCGTAACAGTGTTCTGGAATCGTATGTGAGGGACACACATTCAGACAATTGTAGCAGTGTTTTGGAATCCTATGTGAGGGACAAACATTCAGAAGCCAGCACAAGTGTTCTGGAATCTTCTGTGAGGGAAAAACATTCAATCAACAGCGGGAGTGTTCTGGAATCCTATGTTATGGACAAACATTCAGATGCTCATTGCAGTGTTCTGAAATTGTATGTGAGGGAGGAACACTGAGAACCCAGCAGCAGTTTTCTGGAATCCTATATGATGGATGTACTTGTAGACCCCAGCAGCAGTGTTCTAGAATCCTATGTGAGGGACAAACATTCAGACCTTCGTCGAATTGTTCTGGAATCCTATAAGAGGGACAAACACTCAGAAACCAGCAGCAGCATTCAGGAACCCTATGTGAGGGACAAACATTCAGACAACAGCAGGATTGTTCTGGACTCCTATGTGAGTAACATACACTCAGAAAACAGCAGGAGTGTTTTGGAATCCTATGTAAGGGACAAACATTCAGATCCTCATAGCAGTGTCCTGGATTTCTGCGTGAGGGACAAACATTCAGACCCCCATAGCAGTGTTCTGGAATCCTATGTTAGAGAGAAACATTCAGACCACAGCAGGAGTGTTCTGGAATCTCCTGTGAGGAACAAACATTCAGACTGCCCTAACAGTGTTCTGAAATCTTATGTGACTGACAAACATTTAGACGCCAGCAGCAGTATTCTGGAATGCAATGTAAGGGACAAATATTGAGACCCTAGTAGCAGTGTTCTGGTATCCTATCTGAGAGACAAACTCTCAGAACCAAGCAGCGGTGTTCTGGAAAATTATGTAAGGGATAAGGATTCAGACCAGATCTGGTATGCTCTGGAATTCTATGTGAGGAACAAACTCTCAGAATACTGCAGGAGTGTTTTGGAATCCTATGTGAGGGACAAACATTCAGACCCTCGTAGCAGTGTTCTGGAATCCCATGTGATTGACATTCAGACCACAGCAGGAGTGTTCTGGAATCCCCTGTGAGGACCCAACATTCAGACCTCTGTAGCAGTGTTCTGGAATCCTAAGTGAGAGACAAACATTTAGACCCCAGCAGCAATGTTCTGGAATCCTATGTGAGGGACAAACATTCAGACCCTCGAAGCAGTGTTCTGGAATCCAATGTGTGGGATAAACATTCAGACAATAGTAGCAGTGTTCTGTAATCCAATGTGAGGGACACACATTCAGGCCCTCGTCGGAATGCTTTGAATTCTATGTGAGGGACAAACACTGAGACAATCTTAGTACTATTCAGGAATCCTCTGTGAGGTACAAATTTTTAGACCACAGCAGAAGTGTTCTGCAATCCTATTTGAGGGACAAACATTCAAACAACAGAGGGAATCTTCTGGAATCCTATGTTACGGACCAACATTCAGACCCTCGTTGCAGTGTTCTGGAATTC